>NC_000020.11:1581486-1733001 GCF_000001405.40 Homo sapiens
CCCAGGGATCCCATCTCTCTTGCCTACCCATCTGCTTGATTGAGCCTGCTCCTTGGGAGCTCCTTCCACATGGCTTCCTGCATGGCCTGCCCTACTTCTGTCTCTAGGAACTGTGAGTATGCCTCTTCATATGAACTTTTCATGGCCATGTTAGAGTGATCCTCTAAGATTCAACCAGCAGGAGTCACTCTAACATTTTCTATAGTAATGGCAATGAGGATGGGATCATTCTAAACTCAGGTGGAAAGTTCCTAGGGAATGCCTTTGACTCATGACTTACTGATTTGCTACTCTGATTGGCTCCACAATTTGAGAAGGCTTTTTACCCTGATGACTTTCTTGTGCTATGCTATGTACAGCTTTGTGTTGCCTTTTGGAGTGCTGCCATGGCTCTCCATCCTGAAGCGAGGATCCTGTTCCAATATCAATAATGACATCCACCTTTCTCCAAGAGCACAAGATGATATAACATTGGTAACACCTCTTCAAAGAAGATTCATGTGATATGCATATTAATGTCACATAATCCAGCACCTGTAAGTTTTTTTTGGGATGCCTGTGGCAACATATTCTTCATTTACAAATTTTACTTACAAATTAAAATCAACAGACACTCCTGTTAGTGTCATTAAATGAATTAAACAAAAATATCTCTCCTCTGTAAAGACTTTGGCTGTGTCTTTCATGCCTCTTGGAGTCTCTAGACCACTCATGATGGCTATATATTTCCTCAGGGCCTTGATGCAAAAATAATGCTCTTTATGGCCTACGCTGTACTCCATTAAAACAACTGACTGGTTACCCACTAGAATCTCCTGATTTGGATTCCAGATTTGAAGATAATACCCTCCTGTTTCAATCATTAACCATAAATTGCCCCACAGGCCAGGCTCTGCTCATCTGAAATGACACCCATCGGAATTTAAACTTCCACTGCAACACAAAATTAAAATTGCTGCCAGGTACAGCTGCACACCTTTCTGTTGACAGTTGGCATTATTACTACTTGGTTTGTTGATGCAACAATCCTCAACCAAATACTAGCAAACTGAATTGAACAGCATATTAGAAGAATTATACAACACGAGCAAGTGATATTTATTTCTGGAATACAAGGATGTTTCCATGCACAAATGACAAACAATGTAATATATCATATTTATAGAAGAAAGACAAGAAACACATGATTAGCTCATTTGATACAGAAGACGATTTGACAAATTTGGGGATCTTTTTATGACAAAAACCATCAATAAAAGGAATATATGAAAACTTCTATAAAATAATAAAAGTCGTAAACACACACTTGATTTTCACTTATCGCTGTCTAATATACTATTTTATTTGCCTATTTATCATGTGTATTGATTACTGTCATTCTCCCCAGTGGAGATAAGCAACAAAAGGGCAACTACTTTTTGTCTTTTATTCAACAATGTTCTTTGTTAGGTCCTGGCACATAGCAGGTATTCATCAAATATGTGTATAATGTGTGAATTGCTTAGTGGAACACTTTCTCAGGAGACTAAATATTGTATTTTAAGTGAATTGCTTTCATGAAATTTGCCAGAAAATGTGTTTCCCATGTGAATTGGTGAAAAAAAATCGACTTGTATACATGCAGAAATCAGAAGAGTCAAGGAGAAGAAAACCACAAATCCTCTTCTCCCCACCACATCACCTCCCTGCCCTCATGAGCAGCATCTGCGGAAATTTCATGGAATAAGATCAAGGGCAAAAGTGTTTGAGAAGAGTAATGGTGAAACCTGTGATCTCTAGAGTCAAAGTGCCTGAGTTCAAATCGTAGCTCTACCAGTTACCAATGAGTAACCTAGGAGCACTTTGTGCTTCTGTTTCCTTATTTGTGAGGGAGGGTGAACTTGGATATAATGGTTACCTGATGTCAGAAATGTAAGTGATTTCCTACAGTATCTGGCACACGGTGGGTATTCAAAAATTGTAAAGTGATTACTTGGCAGATTTCCTGAGGATTGGAGGCTTCAATGGATATTAGATGATGATATGGTTATGGATATGGATATGAATATAACTATAGATATAGATAATATAGGCAGGGTTCTCTGTTACTTTTATCTCCTTCTTTCTTCCTCAACCCTACCATTAATGGAAGAGAGAACTCAAAGAGAGGAATGCGCAAAAGTTCTGTTTTGAGGAAAAGTGCATTTTACTAAGAAGTCTGCTTACCTGTTGCTTTGCTTAACAGATTGGGGGATTTTCAGGGGTAAATGACTGAAGTAGAAAGGAGGGAGAATGACTGGGCAACAGAGAAAATCAAACATCTCTTTAATGTGTTTTTCCTGTAGACTAAAAAATGAGTTGAAGACTGTAGTAAGGGAAGTCTTACTACTACTACTACTACTACTACTACTACTACTACTACTACTACTGCTGCTGCTGCTGCTGTGTGTTTCCACATGGTCAAGTAAGATTTATCCCAGGAATTCAAGGATGGTACAACATTCATAAATCTCTAAATGTGGTACAGTGTTTCAACAGAAAGAGGGACAAAAACCATATGACCTTACAACACAGGCAAAGAAAGCATTTGACAATATTTAACATTTTTTAATCATAAAAGCTCTCAAGAAATTAGATACCAAATAAATGTTCCTCAACACAATAAGGGCCATACAGGACATATCCATAGCTAACATCATACCCAATGGTGAAAAGTTGTCACCTTTTACTCTAAGATCAGGAACAAGACAATGATGCCCACTCTCAAGTTTTCTATTCAACATATAGTATCAGAAGTTCTATCCAGAATAATTGCACAAAAGAAGTAAATAAAAGGCATTCAAATCACAAAGGAAGAAGATAAATTTTCCCTGTTTGCATATGACACTATCTTATATGGAGAAAATCTTAAAAATCTCTAAAAACTTTTAGAATCAACAAACAAATAGGCCACAGATATAAGATATAAAATTAATTGGTAAAAATCAGTAGTTTCATACACTTATAGCAAATTAGTGGGAAAAGAAATCAGTAAAACAATTTTACTTACAATTGCTACCAAAAAAGGTAAAGCAGCTAGGAATAAACTTAATCAAGGAGCTGAAATACCTACACACTGAAAACTATAAAACTTGGATGAAAAAAATAGAAAACAAATAACAGAAAGATACCTATGTTTGTGGATTGGAGAATTACTATTGTAAAATGTACATACTACCCAAAGAGATCTACAGATTCAATTCAATGTCAGTAAAATTTCAATGAAATTCCACAGAAATGGACAAAACAATCCTTAAGTTCATATTAGCCATAGAAAACCATGAATAGCTAAGGCAAGCTTTAGCAAAAAGAACAAAGCTGGAGGTATCACACTGCTTGATTTAAAAATCTTCTACAGTGCCACAGTAATCAAAACAGCATGGCACTGGCACAAAAAGAGACACATAGACCAATGGATCAGACCAGAGAGCCCAGCAATAAACTCACACATTTGCACTCAATTGACCTTTGACAAAAGGGTCAAGAAGACACAATGGGGAAATGTCAGTCTCTTGAAAAAGGGGTGTTGGGAAACCTGAATATCCATGTGTAGAGAAATGAAATTAGACCTCTGTCTCATACCACATACAAAAATCAACTCCAAATGTATTAAAGACTTAAATGTAAGATCTGAAACTGTAAAAGTACTAGAAGAAAAGTTCCATGACATTGGTCCGGGCAATGAATTTTTGGATATGAGCCCCAAAGCACAGGCAACAAAAGCAGAAATAAATAAATGGCACTACAACAAACTAAAAAGTTTCTACACAGCCAAGGAAACAATCAACAGAGTGAAGAGACAGCCTACAAAATGGGAGAAGATATTTTCAAACCATACATCTGATGAAGAGTTAATATGCAAAATATATAAGGAAGTCAAACAACTCACTCATAAGAAAACAACCCAAGTAAAATATGAGCCAAATAGCCATTTCTCAAAAGAAGACATCAAAATGGCCAGTCAACATATAAATAATATCCAACCTCATCATTCTTAAGATAAATGCAAATTAAAACCACAGTGAGCTATCATCTCACGCTTGTTAGAATAACTATTATCAAAAAGATGATAATGACTATCATCAAAAAGATGTTGGAGAGTATGTGGAGAACAGGAAACCCTGTTCCCACACAGTTGGTGGGAATGTAAATTAGGCCATCCATTAGCGAAAACAGTATGGAGTGTCCTCAAAATTCAAAAATAGAATTATCATATGATCCAGCAATCTCACTACTGAGCGTATATCCAAAGGAAATGACATCAGCGTGTCACAGAGATATCCGCACCCCCATGTCCATTGCAGCATTATTTACAATAGCCAAGATATGGAATCAACCTAGGTGCGTATCAACAGATAAATGGATAAAGAAAATGTGGTGTATACATACACAATGGAATTCTAATCAGTTGTACAAAAGAAGGAAATCCTGTCATTTGCAACAATATGAATTAACCAAGATGGTATTATGCTAAGTGAAACAAGCCAGGCACAGAAAGACAAACACCGCATGATCTCTCTCATATGTGGAATCTAAAAAAGTTGAACTCAAAGAACTAGAGTAGAATGACGGTTTCCAGGGCTAGACAAGGGGTGCAGTTCGGTAAGTATTAGTCAAAGGACACAAAATTTTTGTTTAGATGGGAGAAATTAGCTCCAGATATCTATTGTACAATATGGAGTCTATAGTTAATAAGATGATTTATATCCTTCAAAATTGCGAAGTGCATAGATTTTAGGAGTTCTCGCCATACAAAATTGTCAATATGTAAGATTATGCATATGTTAATTAGCTGAAGTTAGTCATTCAGAAATGTACACATATGTCATAATATGTTGTACATGAGAAGTATACTGTTCTCAAATTAGAAGTATTTTCTTAAGCTTTAATTGAAATTAAAGTTGGAGAAACTGATAAAAAATGAAATCTCATGTGTGTGCGTGTACACACTTACACTCACTTATATGCACACATGCAGGGATCTCTAATCCCCAGGTTGTGGTTGGGTACAGGTCCGTGGCCTGTTATGAACTGGGCCGCACAGCCGGAGGTGAGCAGCCAGTGAGTGAGCGTTATCGCCTGAGTTCTGCCTCCTGTCAGATCAGTGGCAGCATTAGATTCTCATAGGAGTGCCAACCCTATTGTGAACTGTGCATGCGAGGGATCTAGGTTGTGTGCTCCTTATGAGAATCTAACTAATGCCTGATGATCTGAGGTGGAACAGTTTCATCCTGAAACCAACCTCCCCACCCACCCACTCTGGGTCCTTGGAAAAATTATCTTCCATGAAACCAGTCCCAGGTGCCAAAAAGATTGGGGACCACTGCACACGTGTGTGTGCGTGTGTGTGTACACATTCACAAATATATATAAAACTGTGACCTATAATATTTGTCACATAGAAATCATCCAACAGATTAACAAAACTTTCGGAATACAAACATATACCAGGGTTTTAACTCTGTTGCTGACTGGTGTAATGGGTGATGATTAATCCTGTGTCTGCTTTCCTGCATTTTCTAGTATTTCTGCAGGTAGCATAAGAAGGCTAAAAGTAGGAACTCTGAAGCTGGTCGACCTGGACTTGAATCCCATCTGCTCCACTGATTGAGGTAGGGAACGATAGACAAGTTCCTCTCTCAGCCTGCCTCCCCATTTGCAAATAGGGAATATGAGTTGTAGCTTTCACACAGGGATGTTGTGAGGATTAGTGGAGTTAAAACACACAGAATGCTAAGAACAGTTTTTGCGTTATAGGAAGATCTCAATTGCTGAACTATTACTGCTGTCATTTGAATACAGTGTATGGTAAGAAAAATGATTTGGAAAGTGAAATTTCTGCCCTCTAGGACTTGTGAGGTGGCATCACAGCAGGGCCCAGTGGGGAGCTGAGAGGCTGCTGTGCCCAGCGCTGTGACCCTGGTGTCAGCTCCATGGCCTGAGTAAGGAGTGAGGACAGGAAGCCTATCTGGGAGCTGGGAGCAAAGACTTTCCAACCTGCCCCTCCTGAGGAAGGGAAAATAAATTCTCCATGGCAAAGTCAAGAGACCCAAGGGAGATTATGGTACCTGTTATGGGCTGAATGTGTCCCCTAAAAGGCATGTGTTGAAGCTCCAACCCTAGCAACACAGAATGTGACTGTATTTGGAGACAGAGTTTTTAAGAAGCAATTCAGTTAAATGAGTTCATTGGGGTGGGCCTTAATCCAATACGATTGATGGTCTCATAAGAAGAGGAGATGAGGACACAGACACACACACAGAGGGAAGACCATGGGTTGAGACACAGGGTGGAGACTGTCTTCTACAAGCCAAGGATAAAGACCTCAGTAGAAATTAACCCTGCTGACACTTTGATCTTGGACTTCGGCTTCCATAACTGCAAGGAAGTAAATGTCTAGTTTCAGCCACCCAGTCTGTGGTTCTTTACTATGGAAGCCCTAGGAAATGAATATAGGCCCCAATAAGCAGCAAATGCAGAACTTGTTAAAGAGGAAGAGGTGACCAAAAAAATGGGTGTTAAGACTCAAGTCACAGGGGAGGGAGGATCATGGGGGAACACAGGACAAAATAAGGAGCACCCTTAGGGAGGACGGTGGCTGAACATCCCTGGGAAACACTGCACCCCTGTCCAACTCAAGCAGGCACCATTTCAGACTTCACTTCCTCTGGGTATTGAATACAGAAGGCTGGGCCTGGAGCCACACAGCCCTCTCAGGCTGTCTCTGAGCTCACTCTGTCCTTGGGTAGGTTGTTTAGCCCCAGAGTCTCAAGACTGGTAAGGATTTAAATAGTGATTGTTCTGTGTTAGTCAAATGAAATAGATCAAAATGTAAGTAATTGTGGTGGTGAGTCAATCATCCTGTGACTTGATGCCTCTGGTAGCCAGCTGCTGATCCACAGAGAAAGTGCTCAGCTCCATGATGTCCTGCTCTTAGGCCCCATCTCTGGCCTTCCTTGGCAGCACTTGTGGTTGTCTGGAATCCCCAAAGGTCCAGGGACAGGATATAGCCCTGCCAGCGGAGAGAAAGGGTTCTAGCCCAAGGCAATGCTTACCTGTGAGTCCCAGCAATAGAGTCAGCAGCAGGAAAGGACAAGGAGGGTGGGGCCAGGAGGCTGGGACAGGCATCCTGGAGACCTCAGGAGCCTGCTCTGTTCAAACGTCTGTGGTGGGGAGATGTCAGGCTCTGCTCTGAGGAGAGAAGACAAGCCCTGCCTCCCTCAGTTCAAGAGGAAGTGGCTATGATGGATTGCGACAGCAACTTGCTTCTAGATTGTAACTTAGAAATCAGGCACAGCAGGCAGCTACAAAGCACAGAGTTACTCATACTCCATTTTCAGGAGAATCAGACAGGCTGAGCAAAAATAATGCTTCCTCTTCAACTGAGGCCTGTGTTCTGTCCACGTGGCCCCCTTCCCCATCTTCAGGTCTTCTTGATGATTTGCCAGTTGAGGGTCTTGGGCCAAGAAGGTCTGTGGTTGTGAGTTGTGTCCTAAACTCTTCATCTCAGGACCCTAGGATGTGGTTGGCTTGTTGCTTCGTTCTGCACCAGCCTCAACCAAGTGCTACTCAGCAGGGGGCAACAGGAGGGATCGCAGGAGCCTCTTGATGTTGGAGAGGAAACAGGTATGCTCTTGAAATGATTCCTTATTCAAACCTTTTAATGATATAACTGGCAAAACGTAGCTCAAATTCAGTCTGATCTGAACTTTGGTACTTTCATGGGCCTGAATCCAGCAGAAGAAATCATTTCCCAACTTCTTCCAGGAGAGGGAGTAGTTTTAGTTTAGTAAGGATCTGTTTTGTCGGGTGAAGTGAGGATCATGGGTTATGGAAAAGGGATAGGGTTATGATTCGGGCAGAATGTGGCGGACAGGTTCCTGAGGTCATCACATCAACTTTAATATCCTTTGTTCTGCACAGAGGACCTACTTCATTCACCACTGTGTTCAGATGGGAAATGAGGAGAGAGGAAGTATATATGCCCTGACCAACAAGGTGTGCTAAGGAGTTGGGGAAATCATTGCAGCCATCTACGCTCAATTTTGTTCTCTAAACTGGGGGTTATAAGTATTTCATTGCAGTGTTTTAGTGGAGATTAAAGGAGATAATGATTGTACCATGCCTGAAACCCAGTAGGTCATTATTGATGCTAATGACACCAGGTGAAGAGCGGGAACTCGAGTGGTGCTTTTGAATGAATCCCTACTACATGGTGAATTGCCCACCAGTGGCTTTCTCCCAGCAACCCAGGCCTCCTGAGACCCAGATTATATGATGTGCTTGGACTACCCCTGCCACTCTGAGATCAATTGCTTTCTCTTGAATTCTCTGCATCCTGCTCCTTATAATCCACAAATTAATTTGTTCTCTCACAATTTCCAGCTGTGTGACTTTCAAGAAGACACTTGACTTCTCTGAGCCTTATTTTGATGGTATGTAAATGGAAGTTATAACATGCACCAACATGCACCTTGTAGAGATGGGGTAGGAATAATATAAACCATAATGAATGCTTGACTCATAATTAATTTTAACCAAAAAATGTGGCTATAATTTTTTTTTATGAGAAGGGCTCACTGCTTTCCTGCCACAGTTGTGCTTTAGAAAAACCACCTTGTTAGGAGAAATGTTTGTATCATCTATGACTTAGAAAGGCCTGTCTGGAAGCTTCCCTGTCACATGCTAGGTTTTAGGTCCTTCATCTGTTATTGTCAAATGAAATGTAAAGGTTATCATATTCTCATTCAAAGTTCTGTTCAATGTGGCAAATGTGCACAGGGTGAAATCTTCCCCTCCTACTCCACACCCACAAAAATGAAAATGAAAAAGGATAAAATTATATTATTCCGTGTCAAATTACACTTAAAAACAAGACAATAGTCTTTATGTGACATGAAGGAATAGCAGCAGTTATCATTTATTGCAGAAGTCCTGTGCCCCAGATATGGTGTCAAGCATTTTATGTCAGTTACCTCATTAATTCATCACTCTGACTCTATCAAGTAAGCACTGCTATTAACCTACCTCCTTTTACAGGCGAGGAAACCTGAGGCACACAGAGAGTAATGGATTTGCTCAAGATCACTAAGCTTTTAGAACTAGAGCATAGGTTGCCACACACCACAGACTTCACTTTTAATGTTTGCACTATGACATCTGTCATTGGAAAGGAGAGACATCCCTCAGGAGGAAGCAGAGAAGAAGCCATAGCCTCAGTTAGGAACAGCCCGCACAGTGAGGCTGTGGCAGGTGCCATGCTCCAGGAGGCCCTGATAACTCCATCACGTGGGGTGGGGCTTTATTTCTGGAAAGATGGCAGTGCAGGAAGGAATCACTGAAGATGTGGGGAACAGCAGCACCATGAGAGATAGCTAACCAATTCAAGAAAAACAATAACTCAAAAACAAGAACAGCAATCAAGAGGACTTCACAACTGAGAAAATATGAAAAAATAAAATATAAAAAGGTCTTTAAAATTAGCATACACAGTAACCTTATAAAGATAGCAAAAGGGAAGTGAATCCATAAAATAACATCAGGCATGTGTGAAACAGGAATAGTCAGGCATGAAGTAACAGGTATCTTGGAAAAATAACCAAAAAAAGAGACTTTGGAAATGAAAACATAATTACTGAGGACAGTTTTAAAAAATGTAATAGGTTGACTAGGGGACTATATATATATAAGTAGTAAGTTATTGGGTTGGGGGATCATGTGGGGAAATCCCTTAGGATTCAGCACAGAGACACACCTAAACAGAGTAAGGTAAATAGGTGTAAATATAGGAATAACAAAAGATATCTCACAAAACATGTCAAAAAATTTCCCAGAAACAGCTGAGGAGCTGAGCACTTGCAGAGAGGGTGGTGGTGCCCAGGGTTGGCTCTGAAGGCACAGTGATGATGATACTGAAGATATTTCACTGTTTGATTTAGAAGGGAGGGCAGACAACTAATAGACCAAAGAAATTTAAACTCAGAGATCCAGTGGCCTCACTTTTCCTTTAATTATTTCAAGTCAGTGCAATCGCCACCTATTTTCTCTATGAACCGCCCAGCAGTTGCTTTCTTGCCTGTGTGGCCTGTGTGGTGACAATGATCTCGTTGTCAGGTGGCTTTTGGGCAGTGAAGAATGTCACCGGTAGAGTAATGATTGGACTATGTTGGTGGAATCACATTGATGACAATGGAAAGGGCCATTGGGCATTTGAGTCCTGGGAGACATCCTCTTAAGAGAGTAAAACTGTCTTAGAGGCTGAAAGAAGAATCTTCTGGTTGGGACTAATGGCCTGTCCAGTGCTGTGAGTGATATGTGCTTTTAGTGCCTGATTTGATTTGGCTCTGTGTCCCCACCCAAATCTCATCTCAAATTACAATCCCCATGTGTCAAGGGAGTGACCTGGTGGGAGGTGATTGGATCACATGGGTGGTTCCTGCATGCTGTTCTCATGATAGTGAGTGAGTTATCAAGATCTGATGGTTTAAAAGCGTTTGGCAGTTCCCGCCTTGCTCTTTCTCTCTCCTGCTGCCATGTAAGACATTCCTTGTTTCCCCTTCACCTTCTGCCATGATTGTAAGTTTCCTCAGGCCTCCCCAGCCATGCAGAACTGTGAGTCAATTACACCTCTTTTATTTATAAATTACCCAGTCTCAGGCAGTTTTGTTTGTTTGTTTGTTTGTTTGTTTGTTTTTGACACGGAGTCTCACTCTGTCACCCAGGCTGGAGTGCAATGGCATGATCTCGGCTCACTGCAACCTCTGCCTCCTGGGTTCAAGCGATTCTCCCACCTCAGCCTCCTGAGTAGCTGGGATTACAGGCACCCACCATCATGCCCAGCTAATTTTTGTATTTTAGTAGAGCTGGGGTTTCACCATGTTGGCCAGGCTGGTCTTGAACTCCTGACCTCAGGTGATCCGCCCGCCTCAGCCTCTCAAAGTTCTGGAATTACAAGCATGAGCCATTGCGCCCGGCCTCAGGTAGTTCTTTATAGTAGTATGAGAATGGACTAATACAGTGCCCTCTTCTCCTTCAGAGTAAAGTGGTTGAACGCTAGACATGATCAGACTTCTCAAATAGAGGGAGAAAATTTATGTGTTTTACGATGTTGGGGGGCAACCTAAGAGATTCTTGACTCTGAACCTTTTAGATCTCAGTTTATGTTGCAACAGAAAGTGTTGGCTTTTTTCCCCCCACTTAATAACTTTATTTAAAACAAACAAAAGTAGTTTTCATATTAAGTTTTTATTTTCTCTCCAGCACTTGGGGCTAGAAAGTGTGTTGTCACTACAAACGTCCAAATTTATTTAATGGTATACAGAGGTATGCACAAGGTCATGTAATATCAGTATATCCCAAATTAACCAAAGTGTGTTTATTGATATATGTAATGAAGGCCTTTGCTATTTGATCCATAGAACATAGTATGTTCTTAGTCTATTTCAAAGCTCTATGTGTTTACATATTATTTCTGTAGATTATTTTCAGAAGCAAGTTTTGTTTCCACAGTATGAGTGAGCACGTTGGCTAATGTGTAAGTTAGAAATAATTGATAATTTTTAATATGTACTTCATGGTAAAATTTCTTAGACATACATAAATGAGTAAAAACGAAATTTAGGGAATTGGTATTAGTTTCTAAAGTTTTGTTTATTTTCATTTGTAAGAAGTCATTTACTTAAGGTCCAATTATTATAAATGAATTATCATAGTTTATGTTTAAGGAATACCCAGAAATTGTGCTGTTCTACTTATTTTATAAGAGGATAGCCAGATTTTACTTTGGAGCCTCCTGGAGCTCTTCAATGCTCTTTGGCCTAATGATATCTATCTTTTATTACTAAAAACGCATTATTTTTATGTTTTAATGAGAATAATCATTTACATACTTCACATAATGGGTAAAGACATTTTGTTTTATGAATCTATATTTTTTCTTACTATAATGAGAATGTTATAGATTATGCATTTGTATTAATGGCATTTCTTAAAGCAGTAGATTTAATTATAAACTAAAGCAACCTAGAAACTACTGTAGGTATCTGTAAATTGTGTTGTAGGTACTATAGACTTAGTGGAGTCTCTTAATCAGATTATGTTGTGAATACATTTGTACATTATTAAAATATATTTCAAGATGTTTTGCTGATTTTAATAGGTGTCTTTATTGGAGTGATAACTTTAAAGGTACAAAACTTTATATTTGTATAAGAGTCTACTGTTTACGAAGGAAAAAGGAAAAAAAACCCAGAAATATTAATATCTAAAGATTTATAATTTAAGGTAAAACATACCAGTGGTTGAAAGAGGAATATTTCCTTCCATGAAAATAGCAATTGGCTTGGAAGGTGTGAGACATAAAGTTTCATGCCTCCAAAAATCATAGTTTGGAATACAGGACTCCAAAATTGATGCAATAGGCCAGGTGCGGTGGCTCACACTTGTAACCCCAACATTTTGGGAGGCTGAGGCAGGTGGATCACCTGAGGTCAGGAGTTCAAGATCAGCCTGACCAACATGGAGAAACCGTGGCTCTACTAAAAATACAAAATTAGCCAGGTGTGGTGGCGAGTGCCTGTAATCCCAGCTACTCGGGGGCTGAGGCAGGAGAGTCACTTGAACCCGGGAGGTGGAGGTTGCAGTGAGCTGAGATTGCGCCATTGCACTCCAGCCTGGGCAACAAGAGCGAAACTCCGTCTCAAAAAAACAAACAAACAAACAAAAAATTATTTTAACTGATGCAATAGTGTCAGGAAGATGGCAGGATCCGTGCTTGGAGCAGCAAGTTGCCTTCCCAAGGAAGGAACTGTCAAGGAGTTCTCAAGGAACTCCAATCCTTCAATGAAGATATGCTAGATGCATAGATGCTTATTCAAGTAAAAAATTTTTGTAGAAATCACGTGCAGAATTCATTTTCAACTTTAGATTGACTTGGTGCAACATGGATAAAATTGGAATATTTGAAAGAACGGGGAGCCTGGAAGTCCATGAGCTAAAACTCCCCCCTTCATCTACCATATTTCGCCCCCACTCACGACATTAGATGCAGATGACGAGGGAAGACTTTGGGACACATGAGGAACTGGGAGCCCATGGATGCCTCTCCAGAAGACTAAAGATTAGGCCTGTGGGCTTAGGATTAAAACTTCCTAGTCTGAAATCAAGCTCTACCAGCTCCCAAGTGTGTGACCCTGGGGACACTATTAACTTCTCTGTTTCTTGAGTTTCCTCAACTGTAAAATGGACATAATAATCACACCAACCTCATAAGATTGTTATGGGAATTAAATGAACTGATATATGCAAAGTGCCTAATAGTATCTGACTGTATCCTCAAACCTAGATATTCAGTTTTACTATTATTATTATACATATTAGCTAGACATTATTGTTGTTAGGTAGAATTTTAGTAATAGCAACAATTTTAAAAAACAGATCCTCTGCCCTCAAGGATTTATGATGTTATGTGACAACCTCGGCCAATGTCTGGGGGAGGTGGGGGTACCATGGTGATGAGCTGAGGTCATGTGCTTAGCCCTAGAATCATGGGTGCTGAGATCATGTGCTCAGCACCAAGGTCATGGTGCAGCCATGGCCTCTGGGGAGAATCACTATGACTAGGGCAAGGTGCATCCTAATTAGGGTCTACACAGATGCTCATAGAAAAAGTGCTCCAAATCTTGCCTCATGCTGGGATAGGAGACAAGAAAATGCTCCCAAGTGGAAATCCAGAGGAACAGGAGAGATGGACTGAGAGGGAGAGGAGACATCACATAGAAATACACCTGTATAGAGCAGGCTGCACACAACTGTGAGTCCTATGAGCAGAGAAGGTGGCAGGGCCTGTCCAGGTGAGCTGGGACACAGGGCTGGGGATATCTGTCTGAATGACTCTCATGAAGAGACCTCAGACTCTATGCTCTGCAGGGGAGGAGAAGCCCCACCTTGCCATGATGTCCCAGGAGGGAAGTTGCTGTGGGAGGAAGGGGCCATGAGACTGGGGCCATCTTCCATTGTGAAAGAGGAAGTGGACACAGTTGCCACTGCTAGGAAGTTGCTGACGTCTGTGCTTGGGGTTCCCAGACCTGGGAGCCTTGGACAGTACTGGAGAGAGGTTGACTGACATAGAGCCTGCTCTATGTCCCAGAGACTCTTACCTCATGCCAGGGGTCCCATGACCCTTCCTAATTTGAGAGTTCAGACCTATAGGGTTCTGTAGCCAAGGATTGAGCTTGCAGCTTCAGAGACCATAATTCCAGGTGTGGCACATTTGAGGGCTTGTGGCTACAGAAGCCTTTGGGGGTGGAACCAAATCTCCTGGGTGACCCCTACAAGAAGTCTCTCAAACCAACACCAACTAACAAGCTGAGCAAATCAAAAAACAACAACTGCTCTTAGATCTGTCGGAGAAATGAGGTCATAGGGCAAAATTAGAGAGACAGCAGGGTGATATGGAGAATTACAACTTCCTGAATTAGAAACCTCCATGGGAAAGAGTGCTGGGGTCAGAAAACCTGCACCATGAATGGTGAATTGCTATAAGTTCAGTGAGGACCAGTCTGAGCTAAAAACTCAGGAGGACCCAGTCATGGGAACTCCCACACTTCTGTGAATTTTACCTACAGCAGCTTGATTGGTCCTCATAGTGGGTATGAGAGAAATATTCAGTAGTGCTTCCTGAAGAGGAAGGAGAAAGGGGACCATTTCAAATTATACCAGAGTGTTCTCATCATCTTATGCTTGTTCCATATCAGAAATATACAAGAAGACAAGCACTGTTCCAACTATCCTTGCTATGTTTTACAAAGAAATAATAATTTAATCCTCAATGTTTCTAATCCTTTGAATTACCATAAACTAAATATTTTTCCCTTCTGTCCACATTTGCAACTGATAATATTATATTTTCTAATATTTTGACAAAAATTATGAGGACCACAGAGTAGTCATTATATTCCCCTTTGGATGTAGAGTTGCTTTCCAGGGTTTCAGTATTTTCACAGTCGTTTTTGTAATCTTGCACTACCATGCAAAGTGAGGACTGCCCTGTATTTAGTATAATATATGTAGTAATATAATACAGTGCTAAGGAGAAAAGCTAATCAAATTAAGAGACATTGGAATGCTAGGGTGGAGAGGAAAATGGATATTTTACATAGGGAGGTTTACATAAGTTGCCTTTAATAAACTGAAGGACAGAAGAGTGAGCCACGCAGCTGTTGCGGGGAAGAAGCCGAGGAATGACAGGATTTGACTTTTCCAAAAAATAACTGAGGCTGGAAAAATGCAATCCATCAGAGGCTCTATAAGCGGTCCAGGAGGAGATGATGCTAGCTGGGACCATGGAGGAGTGGTGGAGGTGAGAGATGTGCAGGTTATGAGTACAACTCCTTTGTGTGCCGGAGCAGGCTTGGACTGGCTCAGGAGAACCAACTGTTAAATTTTCAGGAATTGTGTATTCTAGTTGTTAAAGTGTTAGAAGCTTGAAATGGGCCATGTTGGGGATATTCACCCCATAGAAATTGACAAACACTACAATTCAGCCTTCTGTTTTCTTTCAAACATTTACCATCTATCTCACCAGGGGACATAAGCATTTTGAAGCAGAACTGAATATGAGATATAAACAAAGAAGAAATCAAGAAGGACTTCACAGCTTTAGGGCTGTCACAGTATTTTTACCATGAGCAACAGAGTTGGGAAGGTTGCAGGATGATAGAAAAACTAGTGTTTCCATCACAGAGAGAGGAGGGAGAGATGCTTTCTTTCTAGGTGTGAGGAGTAGGACACTGTCTTAGTCCATGTATGTTGCTATAAAAGAATACATGAGGCTGGGTAATTTATAAAGAGAGGTTTATTTGGCTTTTGGTTCTGCAGACTGTACAAGAAGCATGGTACTTGCATCTGCTGCTGAGGGCCTCAGAGTGCTTCTGCTCACAGTGGACAGTGAAGTGGAGTTGGCATAACATGGGGAGAGAGGAAGAGAAAAAGAGAAGAGGGAGCTGCTAGGCACTTTTAAACAATCAGATCTTGTGGGTGCTAATAGACCAAGATAACACCAAGTCATTCATGATGAATCCATCCCCATGACCCAAACACCTCCCACCTGACCCCACCTCCAACATAGGGGATGAAATTTCACATTGAGATTTGTAGGGAAAAAATATCCAAATTATATCATACGTATAAACAAAGAGGAAGGATAATCATTTTTCTCCTTAAAACCAGGATGAGTGTTAATTTGTATTCAGGAGGCAATAGAGAATCTCAACAAGGCTGGGTAATTGGGTAGGCAGGAATCCAGAAGGCAGAATAACTCTTGAGAATCTGGACTGCAGTTTGTGGCTTACGGAGAGTCCAAGACGATGGAGGAGAGGTGTCCTGATGTGTTTAGATTTGGCGTGTTTCCCACATCCTAGGGAGGTGTCATGAGTCACTCCCCAGAGCCCCATCCCATGGCCTCTGCTCAGGACCATGAATGAAGACTGCTCTGGAGAATCAAGGACTCTGCAAAGGAGCAACAGGAGCCTGTGGGCAGGAAGATGTCCTGGGAGGGGAGGTGTTTGGAGCTCAGTCTGGGGAA
Source organism: Homo sapiens (assembly GCF_000001405.40). NCBI lineage: Eukaryota > Metazoa > Chordata > Mammalia > Primates > Hominidae > Homo > Homo sapiens. Next base: position 1,598,087 of record NC_000020.11, read on the forward strand.
GCTTCTCACCAGCCCCTTCTCTCAGTCAGAGCCATTCAAGGAAGGAAGTAGGCAGGAGAGACTGGGGGTTCCATGTGGCAGGGGAGGAGGGAAGGAGCTGTGGGTAACATGTCCATATTTAATCATCTGCTCATCATTTAAGAAACATTTCCTGGGAGGCTGTTGTATTCCTGGTGCTGGTCTCCTTCTGGGATGCCTGTTGCAAGTGGAGAGGCAGCCCTGAGATAGGACTCTGCTGGCTCAGCCCTCCTCCTGAGTCTTGATGCCTCTCTCCTCATTGCTTCCACTCAGGCACACAGAGGGTCAGAATGGGTACAGCCCTAAGAGCTGCCCATCTGTGGTTTCTCAACATGACTTGACAGTGAGGATTCTTTTGGGCCCATGGAGATCAGCATCAAATAATCTAGAGATGGCCTGCAAGGGACCACCCACTCAGTAGCCCCTGATGCATGCTCCTCTTCTCACCTCCTCATGCGACCCCTTGGGTGCTGTAAAAACCTTTAAACACCCTGGCTATAGCTCACCTCCTCAAGCACTCACACACTTCCTGGGGTTGGGAGACTCTTAGAGTCCTGACTCTTAGAGACCCTGAGAGTCCTGAGGATGCTGAGGGAGCTCTGTCACCTTCTCTAAACTCCACTGACCCTGATGCTGCATGATATGTGGGCTGGGCCCTCCTCCTGGCCCTGCCCTTTTGGAGCAGCCCTTGGTCAGGCATCCATCCCCCACACTTACAGTCAGGCCTTCTGCTTCCAGTAGACATAGATGACAGAGACACCAACCACCAGCAGCACCTTGGGGCCCAGGAGGAAAGCTATGAGAAGTGGAGCAGCAGAAGCCAGTGCTGGGCCTGGAAATCAGGAGACAGGAGAAGTTAGGAAGGGGCTACCCAGGATGCCATCCCAGAGGCCCCCACTTACCCCACCTGAGGCTACCTGGGACCATCAATGCTCCAAAGCTTTTGAAACTGCATCTTACCCTGGCTACCCTAGCTCCAACCCAAGGCAGAAGCCAGGGAAAGAGGTTCCTCATTCCCTTACCCTGTCCCAGGCTGCCAGGTTGTCCTCCCGGAGGGACGAAGTGGAGAGAATGTGTACTCATGCATTCATGTGTGGCACCTGAGTCCCTCACTTGATCCTCACAAGCCTGTAGGGCAGGGATTATTATTCCATTCTGATGGGGAAATTGAGGCTCAGAGAATTTAGGGAGGGTCACAAGGTTGCTCGCATCCAAACTTAGGGAAGCCCATCATTATGTCCCTTAGGATGATTCCTGAGACTGCGTCCTTTTGAACAAGACAAGTCCAATTTCCCAGGGTCATAGGAAGAATTACAAAAGGGAAAGTAGGTGTCATGAGTATAACTGAGTACCCCCAGTTTGCTAAAAAACAGTTTATTTTCTTTGTTTTCTTTCCCCTTTCCCCCTGCTCCCAGTTTCCTACTTAGCCCTTCAGAAATGCAAATATAACCTTTCACCTCCCCCTCACCAGACATTCCCTGCAGGGCAAGTTCTTCTGTATACTCCAAGACAGATCTCTCCTGGAGAGCTGGCACACCAAAGCATACCCACCATAGAAACTTCACCTCCAGGGGTAGCCTCCAGACTTTCATCCACCAGGAGGGCATATGGAAAGCATGCCCCCTTGGCCACGTTTGCAACTTACTTCTGCTCAGGATGACGCCACCTCAACTGTCAGGTAGCTAAGTCACCAGGCTAGTAGAGGGACCCCTGCCCTTGTTCCCATCCCCATTACCTTATAAAAGTGTCTGCTTTCTTCTCCAAAGGGGAAGCAGCACATTTGAAAGCAGGACACGTTGTGTCCCTTCCCCAACCTAGCTTTGGAATAAATTCACTTTTTTTTGTATCAGACCTCGCGCTCCTTGATTGGATTCTACATGCAGCAAGCAACTAACATGCTTTTTGGTTATATGAAGATGGCTTCAGAGTGAGAGAGTTGCAGGCTGCTCTGTTTAGCCCCAGTGGTGAGGGTTGACCCCATGTTCTTGAGAGCTGGGGAGGCCCTTGAGGGGCTGGGCCTAATGTACTGTGGTGGATAGAAAACACCCTGGCATGACTGTCATGCTTGGGAGGGACTCAGACATCAAGCTCACATCAACCCCAGAGCAGGTGCCATCTGAAATCTCTCTGTTGGACACACAGTCAGATCTGGGGAAGCACACATTTGGATTCTTTGCATTTTTACAATGAGCATTTTTTTGCTGTTAAAAGCAAACAAATGAAGATATGTTTACTTCTGTTTTCATGTACGTTTTCTGGGAAATAAAATGGTGCTGATGGGTCCTTAAGGAAGGAATGGAGATCTCAGCATATGTGGCTGGAAGGTTGGAGGCCGGCAGTTCTCAGCTGGGGGGCTCTCTAGGACTTTGTCTCCCCTGAGGAGAGCTGCACTCTCCAAGTGCACTCCTCCTTCTAGGGGGCAGCCCATAGAAAGATTGGCTGAATTGAAAATAGGAAGGCCACGCCTCTCTACTCAATTAGCAGAACTCTAAGGGACTCTCTCAGCCCTTGGCTTCTCTGCAGAATCAGCTGGGTCTTTGTCCTGCCTGCACTGTGGCTCAGCACGTCCCTCTCCTACACTTCTGCCTCACTCCCTCAGGCATATTGACCCTGACAGCACTCTAGCATGCTTCCTGAACTCCTGTATCCACCTCCAGTTGGCCTCCTAGCAAAATTGACAGTGGAAATGGTCTGAAAAGCAGACTCTAAAATGCAAGTTTGGAAACTGACCACTCATCAAGATCAGCTGGCAATGAGGACCCCAGGGCTGGTAGTGAATGGAGCTGGGCAGGCCCTGGCTTGCAGCTATGGTGCAATTAATAAAACTTTCACTGTCAGTGAAGCGGGAAGGAAATTCCTTGGCATCAGGCATTTGAAACCGGATTGGGAAATGATAGTTATGAGGACTAACGTGTTTGATGGCTGTTGCTGGGCATCAATTCTTTGGGGAAAGACGATGAGAAGCTAAGAGTAACTTATCATGAATTAAGGCTCGGTGTAAAAACCAGAGGACTTCTTGGCAGCAGTGTAGATTGTTATCTCCTGGAGCCAGAGGGCAGAAAGAATAGAAGATTGGGTTCCAGAACATTATAAGAGTAGCAGAACCACAGAGATGGATGAATCTCAGCTTCAATGGGCTGCTATGCTGGGCTAGGGCCCTGATGGGGAAGTTGTGGGACCCTGAGATGTGGGAGGGAATGTTTGGGTCAAAGCACTTACAGATCATCAGCCATCTTCTGAGTTTCTGGGGACAGTTGCAGCAGCATAACTAATTATCTCTATAACTAACCTCCCCAAACCAAAAGAAGAAACAAAAAAGGAAAAGTAAATTTTGCACAAACCTGACTCTGAGTATCACTTGGACAAAGAATGCCAAACTGCAAAATGACTGTGGGTCAAAAGAGAACCTTCACCACACCCTAGTGCACAATCTCACTAGGCTGCCACGCTGCTGGTGCAGTATGTCACATAAGGCATCTTGCATGTTGTGTACCAGCCTAGACAACCTAAAACGCATTTCCTGCCATAGCACATGAGCAAGGATGCTACATCCAGCACACTGAAAGCACCCAAAAATGGCAGCCCTGGTCGGAGCTCTAGTGAGTGGATGGAAGTCTAAAAAGCAAATTCAGCTTCAGATAGATGGTGCAGATTCATCTCTTCCGGCTCCTCCTTGAGAAGTACAACTAAGAACTCTGGAAATATGAGGAGCAGGCATAGGAGAACTTCCAAGGTGAAAAAGGAAGGCAGACTGGCTAGGGATCTGAGGACTGAGGAACAGCCGTGAGGCCAGGCACCTGGGACCCACCCCCACAATATGAGCTCCCAGCCATAGAACATGACAAAAAAAATGACACAGAAAAGAGAAAAAGTCTGTATTCAATAATATAAATCCCCACTTCAAGAAACTACAAGAAGTAGAGCAAAATAAACCCGAAGCAAGCTGCAGATAGGAATTAATAAAAAAGAGAAGAGAGCAGAAAATTAATGAAATTAAAATATAAAAAACAATGCAAAAACCAACTGAAGCAGCTGATCCTTTGAAAGGATCAATAAAATGGGAAAAAATTATAGCAAGTCTGATGATGAAGAAAAAAGAAATGGCACATTTTAAATATCAGGATGAAGCGAGGGCTATCACTACAGACCCTGCAGACATCAAAAGGATCATAAGGGATATTATGAACAACTCTACACACAGAAATATGACGACATAGATAAAATGGACCAAAAACTCTTTGAAAAGCACAAGTTGCCAGATCTCACCCAATATGAAATGAATAATGTGAATAGCCCTAAACTATTGAGGAAAGTGAATTCATAATTTTAAAGTACCCCAAAATATTCTTGAGGTACAGATATTTCATAGAAAAATACTACCAAACATTTACAGATAAATTAATACCAAATCTGGTGCACAGAAAAACGTTTACAAAAGAAATTTGGGGAAATTTGAATGTATGCTCCATTTTAGGTGATGTGAGATAATTATTTTAACAATTTTATGAAATTTAATGGTATAAAATTTTAAATTTTATGAAGTTTATAATGATATTGTTTTTGTAAAAAATGTCCTCTATTATCAGATCACCCAATTGCGGACTCCTCTTGCAACTGCGTGGGCGCATAACTGGGTGAGCAGTGGATGTGACGATGCACTTTCCATACATCTCTGATTATAGGGGACATTGTTGTCCTCCACTTCCTGTCTTCACTCTTCCAGCAGACAAATCAGCGACCCAGCACTGACCCAGTAGATAAAGCCAACGCCGTAGAGTCTGTGGCTGGGCCTTCTAAAAGTCTTCTGGAATAGACACCCCTCCTGGTATTATATGAGAGGGAAATAAGATATATTTTGGTCATAGATGGGGGAACACTGGCCAAATTGACATCCTTGGGACGATGCCCAGCAGAAAGAGACGTTTCTCAAATTAGCATAAATTTGCATTATAGGCTGGTAGTGACCCTGTCCTCAGGACCTCAGACTTACCTTAATTAGTTTGGGCCAGTCATCTGGTCTAATGCCTTGATCTAATTGTCTTCAACAATATCCCCCATTGCTTCCCAAGTCCTGGTTTCCCCTTCTGTAAAACTCCAGACTCACTGGATGGTTGAAGCAGGAAAGGAGATCATAGATGAACAGAAACTTGCACATAATAAATCTGCAGAGAGCCATTGTGATTATTATTGGTCAAATATCACCATCGGGACCCAAAGGAGGCCCTTGCTTTGACCACTCATGGTCACCTGGGGGCGTGGTCCAGGCTTAAACTCCACATGTCTTTCTGAAATTCACACAGCAGATGCAGGAGTCTGCAGGGGGCAGGTCACAGATATGAATGGAAAAGTTTAGGAAGGAACAGACAAGGCAGAGGTCAGAAGGAGTAGGAAGGAGACAGGGTGGCTGATGAGAAACGGGAATGTAACAACTGTCAGGGGTAAAAAGCAAGATGCAGAACGTGAGGAACACATGATCCCCTTGCCTCCTTTCTTCCTCATTCAGCACACATTTATGTCAAAAAATCTGTCAGGTTGTACCTCAAACTTTTAATAGTGATGACTCTTGGAGGGTGAGATTTGGGAGAATGATGCTGACTTTAAAATTCTACTTTATACTTATAGACTTCTAGCTTATTTTATGACAAACATAAATAATTTTAACATGAAAGAAAAAGATAAAATTTAAAAATTTGAAGTAACCTTACCAGGAGCAGTATTTGAGCCCTGCTCCTTCGGGTGGGCTGAGACCTTCAGGTCATGGCTTTTGCTGACCGCTGGCTGCCCGTCATGCTCCACCTGGCAGGTGAGCTTCACATCATCCCTGTGGGCAGATACATTCACCAGGAGCCAGCTCATCCAGTTGTAGGTACCATCCTTGTTTTCTGTAAGGGTTGAGGCCGTTTCTGTCCTGGACACGTTTCCATTCTCCAACCAGGTCAGCTGTAGTCTCTGGGGGTAGAACTTCCTCACCTGGCAGGTGACATTCACCTGGTTCTCTGCCCTCACGGGCTGTTGAGTAACCTCCAAGGTGGGTGGAACTGAAACAGCACAGGGCAGAAGCTCTGACCTTGTGGCACAGACAGATCCAGGGAGGGCTCCATAACGTAGCTCCCCCACCACGGTGAGGGCATCACCAGGACAGTGCTAGGCATGCAGCAGGTGCTCAGACATTGAGGGTGCTCTTTGCATATGAATGAAATTACTAAGCACAACGCCCAGCACACAGTAGGTGCTCAAGGACTGGTAGCTCCTACTAGGCTAAGAATGAGGGAAATCTATAAGCACCACCCCTGGCATGCAGTTGGAATGCTGTAACTGTAGCAAAATAAAGAAAATCACCAAGCACATAGAGGCTTAGCTCATAGTAGGTACTCATTAACTGTGTTTGCTATCAGTGAAATAAATGAAACGGCTAGCACAGTCCTTGGCACCTGGTGGGTGGTGTGGTCACCCAGCCACTGCCATTAAAATGTTAGTAAGTGGCTGGCACATCTAGGGGCATGGGAGGTGGGCAGTTAGGAATTTAGGTTCCAGGCATTTCAAGCCCTGGAGCAAGAGTAGAGCTGGATGAGTGGAGGGTGGTGGGGGGTGGGCTTGGTGGTCAGGTGTGGGCTTGGGCTGGGTGAGGGTCCTCTACCTCGGATGGTCTCAGACAAGTTGGCAGTCCCACGAAGAGGGTCCCCCTGCAAGGTGACGTGGGCCACCTCGCAGATGACTTGAGAGTGAACGTCCTCGCGGGTCAGCACCACCTTGGCTGTGCTGTGGATGCTGTAGGACACACTGTCTCCTGCGGGGTCCACGTTGGTCTGGAAGTCTGAGAGCTCATTCCCATTTTTGAACCATTTCAGGGTGATGTCTCTGGGTGAGAAGCCGTGGGACTCGCAGGTGAAGCTCACTGTGTGCTGAGGTGTGGCCCTCGCCGCAGGGCCCGATACCACGGGGGCAGAGGGTTTGGCTACAAAAGGACCATCGATAATCAGGAGACATGACTCAGATGACAATCACTAACGATAAGTGTGTGAGATGTTAAGAACCTTCTGAGACATTATTTTTTATCCTTCCAATAATGTGGAAAGATTAATGAGGGTGGTGTCCTTATTGTCATTTTACAGAGCAGGATGCAAAGGTTGGGAGAGGTGAGGACCCATGTGAGGTGAGACAGTGTAGGGGCAGGGCCCAGAGGGAAGTCCAGGCCTGAGTTCAAAGTCCTCTCCACACAGGGAGACTTCCACCAATCTGGGCATAGGAACAAAATTACTGATTGGTCTCCCTCCATGTTATTAACTGGTCCTAGCTGTCCTCCCCCGGAAGGCTCACTAACCTCAGAGAGGGCATTTATAGAAGCCAATACAGGGATCAATGGCAAAGTGGCACCACCGTGAGAGCTGCAACCAGGCTGCTCAGCCCAGGACAGGGGTGGGCTGACACCCCCAGCTCCTCATCCGCAAAACAGGAGGACGGAGGACGGCGTTTCTACTTCCTGGGATGTCGCCAGGATTCAATGGGGCAATGGAAGCAGTTTTGCTCTGGATCAAACACAGAAGATGCTTCCCCGAAAAAACACAGATCTATCTTTAACCCAGACTTTACAGATACACAGAGGTCTCTCTTTAGGTATTATAAAAATATGAAACATTCCGTATTTTTCTTTTCACAAATATTTCGTTCTGTCAAATAAAAGGCATTAATTAAGGATAAAGCTTTAACGTAGAGCCAAGAGTTTGTAAGAGCATTGGAATCACACCTGCTAGAGGTCAAGCCACAGGATGTTGCAGTAGATAGACCTGGATAACAACTGAAGCCAGGGTCCGTGGGATTTTGATCTCTTTCACCTGGAGTACTTTAATGAAATAACCAATGAGAGTGGGTTTGCAGTTGAGGATTTTCAACCAGCTAATGAACTGTTTCCAAAAACAACCTTTAGTGAAAATCCCCTATAAAAAACCGGTCCTGTATTGCCATACGGGACACTATTCAGGGTTTCACTGACTCAGTGTACCCAAATTGCACCTCTTTATCTTTCAGATAAATGCTATTTCCTTTGGCCTTCCTAACAATCATTTTGCTGTTGTTGTTAGTTGTTCTAATCTGCTGGAAGTCCTAAATTTGAAAAGAGGAAATTTTTGGGAATCTGAATCTTCAGTTAGGACAGGTTTGGGTGAAAAACAAGGATCACTGAGTACTAAGAAAGCCAAAGGTGGTTAGCTTTTTCATCGTTAATTAATTACAAGAGACAAAGACCCAGGCCACACCAACAGACAGAAACCTATTCTGGGCCTTGAAAGCAAACACATTGGAGAATCAGAACAACGAGTGCAGTTTCTCCATGTAGATGAATTTTAAGGGTGTCTGCAAATTGCTAATTGTTACCTTGAACCTTCTGCCGTCCTCTTAGAAAGCACATATTATACGTTTGACTTTGCCAATATTAACTTGCTCCCTGATATGCGTGAAATAATGTGAGAGCACAGTAAGGAGGGTGTCACTTGAAGATGTCAAGTCTTTGAGACACCAGCAGCATGGGTGTCCCTAGAAGGCTGAGAGGCTGTCTTCAGTTCCGATTTTTTGAGGGCTTCTTGGCAGCCTGATGCTGGCTGCTCTCTCTGTACCTCTCAACACTTCAATCCTCCCTCTATTTGTCAGAGGGGGTCCTCATGTGAGCCCTTGTGTAGGGCGAGACTCTGAGAGGATCCTTGGTGGCCAAGGGCCAAAAGTAGATAGAAACCCCACCCTGGGAAGATGAGTGAGGGTAAGTGCAAGGGCATAGCCTGGCATGTAGTAGGTGCTTAATAAATAGCCCCTGTGACTGTAATCATGAGGTTTGGTCATTACTGCTTCTGGAGCTGCATAGCTATTCTTTAGGCAACAGAACAAAGAGGCACACAAACACCAAGGAAAGGCTCAAACCCTACTCACCGCAGCTGCCAGAAAAAACCCAAATGATAAAAGGAGCAGCAACCACCATGTTTGGCGAACTGGCTTTCAAGTAAGATCACAGGGGAAGCTGGAAGCATTTTGGAAGAAGGAGGGAAAAGATACCTCAGTGACATCTGGGAGTGCTGAGGGAGGGAGGCTTCTGGGGCTGAGGAGTGAGGATTTGCTGGGACTCCAGCACGTGTTTAGATACAAATGTTTTCAAGACAGAAGGTTCCCCAGCCCTGAGGCTGCATCTGAGCCAGGCTTTGTCCCAGTCTCCTATCTTGGGCCCTGAGGCCAGTAGCATGGGAGGGGTCCTGTTCAGGCTTCTGGGGCCTCCCAGAATGTTTCCAGAATGGCTGTTTTGAAGCACCCATGACCCAAAAAGCTGTTCTCAAAGCCCCAAAACCTGGGGCACCGCTTTTGCTAGGGGGCTGTGTATGAGAATCTTCTGGAGCCATTAAGAACTTTAGATATCCAGGCCCAAATTAGATGCAATTAAATTGGCATTTTAGGGGGGTTCCTGGGTCCAGCTTTGCAAACTTTTTTTTTGATAGTTTTCCCAATGATTCTAATGAGCAGCCAAGGTTGAAAGCCACTGGACTCCAACCCAAACCCCATTTATACTTGGGGCCTACAGAAGCCCTGACCTGTCTGAGGTCACACAGCTTCACCCTAACACAACTCACCTTTATTGAGCATTTACTGTGTGCTTGTTGATGCCCTAAGCATTTTACACAATATCACTCCTTCAGACTCGGCCCAGTCTGTGAGGTCAGTGTTACCATCAAAGGGTGAGGACATCGAGGCCTATGGTGGTGAAGCACCTTGTCCCAGGTCACAGAGCCAGGAAGTGGCAGAGCCGGGAAGAGGCCCAGGCAGCTGGGATACTGCCTGTGTTCTCCTAACGACAGTTCTGCAGAAGCTCAGTAATAACCTGAATGACACCACCATTAGGGGCTCTGTGCACATCCTCTCCAATCCTCACAGAACCCAGAATAGGCCATGATAATCAGCATCTCACCGATGGGGAAACCGAGGACTCAAGGGAAGGCAAGACTGGCCCAAGATCACACGATCTTGAAATAACACCTCACTTTGGGGGTGCCTACAGTGCGCTAGGTGATTTACAGAGAGAACCTTACGCTTACGACTTTCCTAAAGGAGTCCATGATTGTCTCTATTCTACAGATGAAGATGCCGTGGCTGAACAAAATGAAGGCACTGTCTCCCGATTCTCCATGTGTCCCAGTGGGCATTTCCTGTGTCCCACCAAGCACTTATGTCCATTAACAGAGCAAGTGTTCTAACTTCTTGAGCTCCAACACTGACTGCCACCTCAATTGTCCCTTTGAGATTCTAGACTTCATGCAATGTTAGGGAGAAGCCTCCCTCCTGGGTGCCCAGGCCTGGTTACCCTGCAGCCATAAGCAAAAGACAGTGGGCTCCTGACAGCCGGAGGGGAGAATCTCAACTCTTGCTCACATGGGCCCCAAACACTCTCTAGGAAATGCCTCATCTCCTCATCCTTAGTCCTCAGCACCATGAACGGGCAGATACGTGCTCTGCTGGGCTGCAGGAGGCTCGACTCTGCTCATTGGACGCTGCTGAGTGAAGAGGAAACAACACAACATGGGGGAAGAGTCCTAAATGCCTCATGTGTGTTGAGACCTGTCCTTTAGGAACCGGCTTGGCATATCATGAGACACGCGCAGGGCCTTTCTGATGGGAGTGTGAAGACAGGCCCTCCTACCCCTACAGGGTTCTTGTTTTGTTTTTAATGCTTTTTGCTGTAGAACTGAACAATGCAAGAGTTTAGAAAGAGAAGGTTGGAGCATTTCTCCACTCTTGAAAAACCACAGTTGAGTGTCACAAAGACAAAGGCTGTGAGTCAGGCTGCGGGGTTCCAGCCTTGGCTCCCTGACCTGCTCCCAAGTCAGGTCTCCTCTCTGAGCTTCAGTGTCCTCATCTTTAAAGGAGGTAGCAAATGGCTTCTCCCTCATAGCACTGGTTATAAGGAGACTCTGGCACAGTTGCTGCTCTCTGGCCCCCTTCCCCACCTCCCTCCTTTCTCATGTAGCTCATCATTTAGGCCGAGAGCATGGCAAAGAGGAGTGAGTACTTCACTAGGAGTGAGCAGATCTGAGTCACACCTGAGCCACCACTGGCTGTGACTGCCTGGGCTGGGGAGGCACCACCTGGGCATTTCAGTGTCTTTGCCAATATTATCTGCACAATCAGGAAAAAGCCACCTTCCTTGTCTAAGTTCAAGGGTTGTGGGGAGCTGATTTCAGTCATTACTGGGCAATGTACATTTTCATATACATACATGTACATGAAAGCATCATGTTTTACGCTTTACATATACACATTTTTTTAAAAAGCTGTTAGTAAAGCTATGTGTCTTCTGGAGATTCCGTTTTTTGCCTTTCCAAATTCCAGAGGCTGCCCACATTCCTTTCTCACAGTTACATCTTCCCATCACTCTAACCTCTTGCTTGCACCCTCACAAATCCTTCTCTAAGAATTAATCTCCTTCCTCCTTCTTGTAAGGACCTTTCTTATGTATTGTGTCCACCCCGATGCTAGAGGCAGATGTTAAAACCACTGTATTAAAAATGTTTGAAGTGGGGCTGGGCACGGTGGCTTATGCCTGTAATCTGAGCACTCTGGGAGGCTAAAGTGGGTGGATCACCTGAGGTTGAGAGTTTGAGACCAGCCTGAGCAACAAGGAGAAACCCTGTCTCTACAAAATACAAAATTAGCCAGGCGTGGTGGCCTATGCCTGTAATCTCTGATTGCTACATCATCTAGGAGGGAAATCAGGCAATATTCTCAAATATGAAAACACACTATCCTGTGACCTAGGAACGCCACTTCCAGTGGGTGTCTCCCGCCTGAGTAGGGTGACACATGTACAAGGTCATCCATTGCATGATTGCTTTAGTAGCTAAGGTTGGGAATAACTTACATATCCATCAACAGAAGACTGTAAAATAAATTTTGATATTTCCATAGATTGGAGTATTTTTCAGCTGTAAACACACTGGAGCAGCTCTCTATGTCCTGACGTGGAATCTCGATATGGAATGACAGGGCTTACATTTGGGAGAAGTTTTCCAATCACAAACAAGCTTTAGTATCTGAATGTGAGGTGCATTCTTAACATTTGGGAAACTGATGAAAAGAGAAATGCTGGCTCTCTGACACCTGGCTCTGTTTGAGGAGCTTTTATCTAGCACCTATGATGCACCAGGCTCTTCTATGGAGACAGCGTCTAACGCTGGGGAAGGAAGGAGACTGCCACGATTCAGATATGGACTCTGGCTCCAATTCTGCCACTAACTGGCCCTGTGACCATGGACAAGGCCCCTGTCATGTCTTGGCTTCAGTCTCCCATCTGTAAAGGGGGTTGGGCTGGATGGTCTGAAGGTCCTTCCTGTGCTGACATTCCATAATTCAGGACTTAGGACGAAGCTCTTGGGCCTCTGGGAGGAAACCCCAGATAAGCATTGTTGCAGCCTTATATGGGAAACCCCTAAGTCACCCACTTGTGGGACCTCTTTCCTGAGGTGAGGGACATTCTGAGATGATGCAGCTCTGCTCGGAGCCCATGGTAACTGTGTGACTCAGTCCCCAAATCGCAGAAGGGTTTCCCAAATAGACCCACAGCAAATGCCAAACGTATTGGCATCTCCTCCCACCAGGCCATCAGATTCAACAGTGAATGTGCCTCCCAGAAATCTTGCCCGTGGGGTGTTTCTGAGGATGAAATAAAGAAAAACACAATTTACCCTCTTCATGAGCTGGACAGATTTCTCCTCATTAGAAGGGAAGAGAATGTAAGCTTGGTGGGGAAGAGCTTTGGGCTGTTTCATTCACTGCTGTTTGCACAGCATCTAGGGCAGAGCCTGGCACACAGTGGGGTCTCAGTGAGTGCCTGCTGCATAAAGAAGAGACTTGGCCACCCTGAGGGGGAAGCGTTCTCTGGAGGCAGAAGGCAAGGTCCAGCCCTGTGCCTGGGCAAGTCACTCAAATTGTCAGTTCCCTCATCTGTGGAACCAAAGGGCTGGATCAGCTTTGGAAACACAAGAGCTGTAGAGCCGCAAGCTGGGGATGCCTTCTGTCCCATCATTTCCAAGCCGTGGAGCCTCGAGCGACTGCCATGACATCTCCAAGCCTCAACTCATGTGATCTGGAGAAGGGGTGACATCAGTTCATGAAAGGGTGGCTGCTCAGCCACCACCACACCTGACTGTTGCTCTAAGAATGGATAATGTAATTATTGAGTTATTGTCACACACTAGGGGATGAAGGAAGCCCACGCTGTACTCACCACGCACAGACAGCTCGGTGCCTGCTCCAGACTTAAACTCCACGTGGTCGGGGCTCCCTTTCCGGAACTTCACACAGTAGTAGGTGCCGGCATCTGCTGGGGTGATGTTACTGATGCGGATGGAAAAGTCCATGTTGTTTCTCTTTGTGAGGTCTGAAACAGTTGTTACCCGTGGGAAGTGGCCTTCTTTCTGATTGTAGATTAATTCCCGGCCTGGTCCAGCTCCTCTGAACCACTGGATGGGCCCCACAGGGATCAGGGAAGTCACAGTGCAGTGCAGAGTGGCCGACTCTCCAGCTGCAACTGATATGGACTTGTCAGGCTGAATCACCTGCAGCTCTTCCTCGCCAGCTACCCCTGGAAAGGAGCACAAAGCAGTCATTTTTTCATCCTTACGTGATCCTCTGTGTTTCCTCAAGTGTTTATCAATGGCTTTCATTGACCGGGTGCACACCAGGAAAAGGCCTTGAGCTCAGCACACTACACGTATTATCTCATTTAACCCTCACAACTGGCCTGTGACATAAGACTGTAATACAAGCGAGGACACTGAGGCACAGAGAGGTTCAATTTCTGTTTCCTTACTTTCTTTTGTTCTTTCTGTTTGCTTTTTTTCTTTTCTTTTCTTTTTGTTTTTCTTTTTCTTTTTTTTAAGACAGGGTCTTGCTCTGTCTGCTGCCCAGGCCGGAGTGCAGTGGTACAATCACAGCTCACTCTAGCCTCAACCTCCCAGGCTCAAGTGATCCTTTCTCCTTGGCCTCCCAAGTAGCTGGGACCACAGGTGCGTTCCACCATACCTGGCCAATTTTTGTGTTTTTTGTAGACACACAGTTTCACCATGTTGCCCAGACTGGTGTCTACCTCTTGGGCTCAAGCAATGCATCTGCCTTGGCCTTCCAAACTGCTGGGATTACAGACGTGAGCCACCATGCCTGGCCAAGAGGTTCAATTTCAATGTAGAGCTTTGGGTTGAGGACCTGAGTAGAACTCTTGAGCCCTCCTTGGAAGTGCCATGTTTTGCTAAATATGTGCCTCCACTCTGTGGCTACATGGAGTGTTGCACTTTTTGCATCAATGGATTGGGTGGGGCCGTGTGACTTCTTTAGACCCTTGAGTTACGAGCAGAAGTGATGGGTATAATTTGTGGGCTGTGCATGTAACTGCAAGAGCCTCTGTGGATCAATTTCTCCCTTCCTGAGACCCACAAGGCTCTAATGGGGCCTGCTCCATTGCCTGGATGCGTGAATGACCGTTGCATGCAGAACTGCCAATCCACACTGAATATGTAGCTTCCAGTAGAAATACAACATTGTTTTAAGCCCCTTGTAATATTTCACCCATAGCATAAACACATTACATAAGTTTCCTAATGCTGATGTGACAAATTACCAAAACTTAGTGTCTTAAAACAAATGTAACATTTTATAGTTCTGGGGGTTAGAAGTCCAAAATAGTGTTACTGGGGTACAATGAAGAAGAAATGAAGAACGTCAAATACACAAAGATAGAGAATAAAACAGTGGTGACTAGGGGTGAACTTAGGGGAGGTGATGGGGAGGTCAAAAGGTATAAAATTGCAGTAAGTCTGACGAAGAAGTCCAGAGATTGAATGTGCAATCTGAGGATTCTAGTTAATAATGTTGTATTGAATTCTGTATTTTTGCTTAAAAAGCACATTTTAGGTGCTGTTGACATACAACACATGCAGCATAACTATGGGAGATGATGGATGTGTCCATTTGCTTAACTTTAATAATCATTTCACTACGTATATGTATATGTGTACGTATATGAAAGCATCATGTTTTACACCTTCAATTTCCACAATTTTTAAAGAGCTTTCAGCAGAGCTATGTGTCTTCTGGAGGCTCTGTTTTTTGCCTTTTCAAATTCTAGAGTTTTCTCACATTCCTTTCTCACAGTTACATCTTCCCACCACTCTAACCTCTTGCATCTTCACATGCAAACATCCTGGAATACAGGGATGTTTCAACGTCATTCTCCAAGAATTAATCTCCTTCCTCCTTCTTATAAGCACACTTGTGATGTATTAGCTCCACCCTGATACTAGACCCAGATATTAAAATCACTGCCTTAAAAATGCTGAGAGGTAAAGGAAATAACGGACCAAGAACTAAAGGAATATAAATGTCTTAACAAAATGAGAATGTAAAGAAAGAGAAATTATAGGAAGAAATCAAACAGAAACTTAGGAATTGAAAGTACAATAACTAAAAGTTCACTAGAGGGGTCCCCCAGTGGGTATAAGCAGGTGGAAGAATAATCAGAAAACTGGAAGATGGTATAATTGAAATTATTGAGACTGAGGTATTGGTGGAAAATAGAATAAAGTATAGAGCACAGAATCTAAGGGAATTGTGAGACGTTATCAAATGTATCAACATACACCTTACTGGAGTTCCAGGGGGAAAAAAGAGAAAGAGAGAAAGGAATAGAAGATTATTTGAAGACATAGTGGACAAAAACCTTCACAGACTAGATAAAATACAGGAATCTACCTATTAAGACACAGAAGAAATGCAAGTTGAACTCAAAAATAAACTCAGAGACCCACACTAAGACACATTATAACCCAACTGTTGAAAACTAAAGTCAAAGAGAGAATCCTTAAAGCAGCAAGACAGAAGTGATTCCTTACATAAAAGAGACCCTCAATAAGATTTTCAGCTCAGCTCTTATACAAAGCACTGAAGGCCAGAAGATAGAGGGATGGTAAGTTCAAAATGTTGAAAGAGGAAAAATATGTCAATCATGAATTCTATACCTGGCAAAGTGTCCTTCAAATACAAGGGAGAAATTACGATATTCTCAGATAAACAAAAGCTAACAGAGTTCATGACCATTAAACCTTGCCTACAAGAAATGCTAAAGGGAGTGCTTCAGGTGGAAATGAAAGGATGCTACATGGCAACTCAAAGTTGTATGAAGAAATAAAGATATCCAGTTATGTGTACATGTTTTAAAAATCATGCTTCAATATCCCACAAACAAGCTGTGAGCACCCTGCCCAGGTGACCAGGTAACCAGTATTTTAAAGCTGGTCCCTGCCACAATTCCTCTTCTTGTCCTCCTCTACTGTGACCTAGTGACATTGAAACACCCTAGTAAAACCCATCATGGTTTTTGCTTGTGTCCTCCACCTTGACTCCCAGTAAAGGCACTTGCCCAGGGATCCCATCTCTCTTGCCTACCCATCTGCTTGATTGAGCCTGCTCCTTGGGAGCTCCTCCCACATGGCTTCCTGCATGGCCTGCCCTACTTCCTTCTCTAGGAACTGTGAGTATGCCTCTTCATATGAACTTTTCATGGCCATGTTAGAGTGATCCTCAAAATTCAACCAGCAGGAATCACTCTAACATTTTCAATAGTAATGGCAATGAGGATGGGATCATTCTAAACTCAGGTGGAAAGTTCCTAGGGAATGCCTTTGACTCATGACTTACTGATTTGCTACTCTGATTGGCTCCACAATTTGAGAAGGCTTTTCACCCTGATGACTTTCTTGTGCTATGCTATGTACAGCTTTGTGTTGCCTTTTGGAGTGCTGCCATGGCTCTCCATCCTGAAGCGAGGATCCTGTTCCAATATCAATAATGACATCTGCCTTTCTTCAAGAGCACAAGATGATATAACATTGGTAACACCTCTTCAAAGAAGATTCATGTGATATGCATATTAATGTCACATAATCCAGCATCAGTAAGTTTTTTCTGGGGTGCTTGTGGCAACATATTCTTCATTTACAAATTTTACTTACAAATTAAAATCAACAGGCCCTCCTGTTAGTGTCTTTAAATGAATTAACAAATAAAAGTATCTCTTCTCTGTAGAGACTTTGGCTGTGTCTTTCATGCCTCTTGGAGTCTCTAAACCACTCATGATGGCCAGACATTTTCCCCAGGGCCTTTGATGCAAATATAATGCCCCTCTCAGCTTTTGCTATACTCCATTACAACAAGAAATTTCTGGTTATCTATTGGGCTCTCCTGGCTTAGAGTCCAGATCTGGGGAGCATACTTTCCTGTCGTACTCTTTAACCATAAATTGTCCCAAAGCCAGACTCTGCTTATCTGAAATGGAGCCCACTGGAATCTAAACTTCCATGAAAATACAAAACTAAGATCACTGCCAGGTAGAGCTGCACACCTTTCTGTTAACAGTTGGCATTATTATTACTCGGTTTGTTGATGCAATAATCCTCAACCAAACACTAGCTGAGTTCAGCAGCATATTAGAAGGAATATACACAATGAGCAAGTGGTATTTATTCCTGGAACACAAGAATGTTTCAATATACAAATGACAAAGAATGTAATACACCATATTTATAGAAGAAAGAGAAGAAACACATGATTATCTCATTTGATGCAAAACAGCATTTGAGAAATGTGGACATCTTTTTGTGAAAATACCATCAATAATAGGAATATATGAAAATTTCTATAAGATAAAAGTTATATACACATACCTTATTTTATTTTCCCTTATCAGTGGCTAATTTATGATTTTATTTACCTATTTATCATGTATATTGATTACTGTCATTATTATGACTTTATTGAAAAAAGAAATCAGTAAGGTAATCGCATTTACAATTACTACCAAAAAAGCTAAAATAGCTAGAAACAGATTTACTCAAGGACATGAAAGACCTCCACAAAAAAAGCTATAACACCCTGATGAAAAATAAATAGAACAAAAATAATGGAAAGATATCCATGCTTGTGGATTAGATAATTACTTTTGTTAAAAATATACATACTACCCAAAGAGATCTACAGATTCAATTCATTATTAGTAATATTTCAATGACATTTTCCTCAGAAATGGACAAAACAATCCTCAAGTTCACATTAGTCATAGAAAATTGTGAGTAGAAAAGGCAATCTTGAGCAAAAAGACTGGAGGCATCACATTGCCTGATTTCAAACTTGACTACCGTGCCATAGTAATCAAAACAGCATGGCACTGGCATAAAAATAGACACATAGACAAATGGATCAGACCAGAGAGCCCAGATATAAACGCACACATTTACACTCAATTGACCTTTGACAAAAATGTCAAGCAGACACAATTGGGAAAGGTCAGTCTCTTCAAAAAGTGGCATTGGGAAACCTGGATATCCATCTGTAGAGGAATAAAATTAGACCTTCCTCTCACATGACACACAAAAATCAATTCAAAATGTATTAAAGACTTAAGTGTAGGATCTAAAAGTGTAAAAGTACTGGAAGAAAAGTGCCATGACATTGGTGTGGGCAATGAATTTTCAGATATGAGTCCCAAAGCACAGGCAACAAAAGAAAAATAGACAAACGGCATTACAACAAACTAAAAAGCTTCTACACAGCCAAGGAAACAATCAACAGAGTGAAAAGACAACCAGCAGAATGGAAGAAGATATTTGCTAGCCATGCATCTAATGAAAAGTCAATATACAAAATATATAAGGAAGTGAAACAACTCAATATTAAGAAAACAACCCAACTAAAATATGGGCCAAAGATCTTAAAACCCATTTCTCAAAAGAAGACATTAAAATGGCCATCAGACCTATAAAAATACTCAGCCTTACTATTCATCTGGTAAATGCAAATTAAAACCACAGTGAGCTATCATCTCACACTTGTTAGAATGGCTACTATAAAAAAGATGATAACTAGTTTTGGAGAGGATGTGGAGAAAAGGGAATTCTTGCACATAGTTAGTGGGAATGTAAATTAGTAGAGCCATTAGCAAAAACAGTATGGAGGCTCCTCAAAAAATTAAAAATAGAACTATCATATGATCTGGCAATCTCACTATTGGGCATACATCCAAAGGAAATGACATAAGCATGTCACAGAGATATCTGTGCTCCCATGTCCATTGCAGCATTATTTACAATAGCCAGGATATTAAATTAACCTAGATGTCCATCAGCAGATAAATGGAGAAAGGAAATTGGTATACACAATGGAATTCTAATCAGCCTGACCAAAGAAGGAAATCCTATCATTTCCAACAATATAAATGATCCTGGAAGATATTATGCTAAGTAAAATAAGCCAGGCACAGAAAGACAATACTGCATAATGTCTCTCATATGTGGAATTTTAAAAAGTTGAACTCATAGAAGTAGATAGTAGAATATTGGTTACCAGGCACTAGGCAGGGGGTGCATTTGGAGAGATATTGGTCAAAGGATACAAAATTTCAGTTTAGTTAGGAGAAATTAGTTCCACAAATCTATTGTACAATATGGGGTCTAGAGTTCATAACACAATTCGTAACCTCAAAAATTGTTGAAAGCAGATTTTGAGAGATCTCACCACAGAAATGATACATATACAAGGTAGGTCATATGTTAATTAGCTCAAATTAGGCATTCTGCAATGTACACATATTTCATTAATATGGTATACATGATAAGTATATACAGTTCTGTCAAATAAAAATAAAATATTTTGTTAAAAGTTTCATTGAAATTAGAAACTTGGAGAAACAATGATAAAAAATGAAATCTCCTGTGTGTGCATGTACACTTACTTATATGCATACATGCATATACATATGTATACACACATATGTATACACACATTTGCAAATATATATACACACACATATATGTATATATACACACACACACATATATATGTATATATAGACACACACATATACATTCACAAATATATATCAAAGTGTGACCTATTGTGATAGTATATAAGTTTGTTTTGTGTATTAAATAAAATTACAACACACGTTAAAATCTCATTAAAATATCTGGCCCATAGAAAGTAAAATATGTGGCCCATAGAAAGCATCCAACACATTAATAACAAATTTAGAAGTACATACATCACAGTTGTAACTCTGGTTGTTGCTAACAAGTGTGGTAGGCAATAATTAATTCTATGTTTACTTCCCTGCATTTTCTAATATTTCTGCTAGTAGCATAACACGACTAAAAGAATGAACTTTGGAGCCGGTCGACCTGGACTTGAATCTCAGCTGCTCCACTGACTGAGGTAGGGGACAATGAATGGACAAGTTCCTCCCTCTGCCTGAGTCTTTGTTTGGAAATAGGGGATAATAGTTGCAGCTTTCACACAGGGATGTTGTGAGGATTAGTGGAGCTAAAACAGGCAAAATGCTAATAACTGTGTCTACATGGTAGGAAGAGCTCAATTGTTAAACTCTTACTGCTGTCATTTGGGTACAGTGTATGTGTGAGAAAAATAATTTGAAAAGTGAGACCCCTGCCCTCTAGGGCCTGTGAGGTGACATCACAGCAGGGCCCAGTGGGGAATTGAGAGGCTGCTGTGCCCAGCCCTGTGGTTCTGGGGTCAGCTCCATGGCCTGAGAAGGGATCAGGACAGGTAACTTGTCTGGGAGCTGTGAGCAGGGTTCTCCCAGGCTGCACCAGGAAAGGCCCTCCAATCCTGCCTGTCTTGGGAAGGGGAAAGAAATTATCCATGGGAAATTTAAGAGAACCAAAGGAGGTTGTAGTACCTGTTATGGGCTGAATGTGTCCCACAAAATGCATGTGTTGAAGCTCTAATCCCCAGCACCTCTGAACGTTACAGTTTGGGAGACAGGGTCTTTAAGAAGTAATTTAGTTAAATGAGGTCATTGGGGTGGGCCTTAATACAACAAGACTGATATTCTCATAAGAAGAGGAGATGAGGACACAGACACACACAGAGGAAGATCATGTGTTTAAGACACAGAGAGAAAATGGCCCTGTATAAGCCAAGGAGAGAGACTTCAGTAGAAACTAACCCTGCTGACACCTTGATCTTGGACTTCAGCCTCCTTAACTGCAAGGAAGTAAATATCTGTAGTTTCAGCCACCCAGCCTGCAGTTCTTTGTTATGGAAGCCCTAGGAAAGGAATATAGGACCCAGTAAGCAGCAAATGTGGAACTTCTTAAAGAGGAAGAGGCCACAGAGAAATGGGTGGTAAGAATCAGGTCACAGGGGAGGGAGGAGCATGGGGGAACAGAGGACAAAGTGAGGAGCACCCTTAGGGAGGATGGTGGCTGAACACTCCCAGGATACACCACACCACTGCCCTACTCAAGTGAGCACTATTACAGACTTCACATCCTCAGTTTGGTGAAGAGAGAGGGCTGGGCCTAGAGCCACATAACCCTGTTAGGGTGTCTCTGAGCTTACTCTGTGGACTTGGGCATGTCACTTGGCCCTAGGGCCTCAGGACTGGTGAGGATTTAGATAATGATTCTTCTCTGCTTTTTCAATTGAAATATTATCAAAATGTAAGTAATTGTTGTTGTGGTGGTTGAATCGTCCTGTGGTTCAATGCCTCTGGTAGCCAGCTGCAGATCCACAGAGAAAGTGCTCAGCTCCCTGATTTTCTGCTCTCAGTCAAAGCCTAATCCTTGGCCTTTCTTGGCAGCACTTGTCATTGTCCGGAATCCCTGAAAGTCCAGGGACAGGCCATGGCTCAGTGGGCAGGAAAAAAGATTTTAACCGAAGGCAGTGCTCACCTGTGAGTCTCCCCAGCAGTAGCGTCATCAGCAGGAAAGGACTAGGAAGGTGGGGCCAGGAGGCTGGCACGGGCATTCTGGAGACCTTAGGAGCCTGCTCTGTCCAAACGTCTGTGCTGGGAAGATCGCAGACTCTGCTCTGAGGAGAGAAGACAAGCCCTGCCTCCCTTAGTTCAAGAGGAAGTGGCTGCGATGGAGTGAAGCAGTAACCTGCTTCTGGATTGTGAAACAGAAATCAGGAACAGCAAGCAGCTACAATGCAAGCAGTTATGCATGCCCCATTTCAGGAGAATCAGACAGGCTTAGCAGAAATAATGCTTCCTTCCCACCTGAGGTCTTAACTCCTTCCATGACTCCTAACCCCATCTTTATGTCTTCTTGGTGATTTGCCATTTGGTGCTCTTAAGCCAGGAAGGACCTGTGGTTATGAAATGTTTCCTAAACTTTCCATCTCAAGACCTCAGGATGTGGTTGGCTTGTGGTCTCATTCTACAACAGCCTCAACCAAGTGCTACTCAGTTGGGGCAGGATGAGGGATCACTGGACCTGCTCAGTGTTGGAGAGGAACAGGTCTGCTCTTGAAATGGTTCCCTATTCCGAACTTTTATAAATATAAATGGCAAAACTTAGCCCAAATTCAGTCTCATGTGGCCGTTAGCACTTTCATATGCCTGCACCCAGCAGAAGGAATTATTTCCTGACTTCTTCCAGGAGAGGAAGTGGGCTTAGGGTAATAAGGATCTGCTTTGTGAGGTGAGGTGGGGATTATGGGTTATGGAAAGGGGATATGTTTATTATGGGGGAGAATATGGAGGGCAGATTCCTGGAGCAGTCACATCGATTTCAATACTCTTTGCTCTGCACATAGAACACCTATTCCATTCATCACTGTCTTCAGATGGGAACTGAGGAGGGAGGGAGAATAAATACCCTAAGAAGATGTGCTAAGGAGTTGGGGAAGTTACTGGGCCTGCCTAGGTTCAGTTTTGCCTTCTAACCTTGGGATAATAAGTCTCACTGCCATGTTTTAGTGAACATCAAAAGAGATAATGACTATACATCCCTGAGATTCAGTAGGTTATTATTGATACTCATGGTGCCAGGTGAAGAGAGGGAACTCAAATATTGCTTTTAAATGGATTTCTACTGCATGCTGAGTTTCCCACCAGTGGCCTTCTCCCATGTTCCCCGGACTTCTGGAACCCAGCTTTTATGGTGTACTTGGTCTACCTCTGACACTCTGAGATCAATTTCTCCCTCTGGATCCTCTTCACCCTGCTTTTTGTCAATCTGTAGATGAATTCCTTTTCTTACAATCTCCAGCTGTGTGACTTTCAACAAGACACTTGACTTCTCTAAGCCTTAACTTAATTACATGTAAATGGAAGTTATAACATGCACCTTGTAGTGATATGGTAAGAGTAATATAAGCCATACAGAAGGTTTGATTCATATTTAATTATAACCAAAAAATTGTGGCTATAATTACATTTGTGTACAGGGTGAGTTCACTGCTTCCCTGACATACTTGTGCTTTAGAAAAATTTCCTTGGTAGGAGAAATGGTTTCTCCTCCATCATCTGTGACTAAGAAAGACCTGTCTGGAAACCTCTCTTTCCCATGCTGGGCTTGCAATCCTTCACCTATCATGAGTAATTGTCAAATGAAATTGTAAAAGTCATCACATTTCCATGCAAATTTCTTTTTCAATGTGGCAGATGCACAGAGGGTGAAATCATCACCTCCTGCTCCACACTCACAGAAATGAATATAAAAATGATAAAATCATGTTAATCGATGCCAAATTACACTTTAAAACAAGAAACTAGTCTCTATATGACATGAAGGGTAGTAGCTGCTGTGTTTACTGCAGATGTCCTGTGCTCCAGGTACTGTGCCAAGCATTTTGTCAGTTACCTCATTAATTCATCACTCTGGTCCCATGAAATTAGCACTACCATTAACCTTTTTTTATAGGTGAGGAAACTTGAGGCACGCAGGCAATAATACATTTGTTCAACATCACCCAGCTTTTAGAACTAGAACACAGGTTGTCACACTCCATGGCCTTCACTATGACACCTCTCATAAGAAGGGAGAGATATCTCTCAGGAAGGAAGCAGAGAAGAAGCCATAACGTCAATTAGGCGCAGCCTCCACAGCAAGGTTGGGATAGGTGCCATGTTCCATAAAGTGCTGACAGCCCATGATCACTCAGGGCATTATTCCTGTAAAGATTACAGTGAAAGCAGTAATCACTAAAGATTTGGGGAAAAGCGACATCATAATAAATTCAAAAACAATAACTAAAAAACAAAAACAGCAATGAAAATAACATCTTAGAAAATAATACCTCAGAAAATAAAAATATAAAATGTGAAAATATTTTTAACATTAACATATTTAGTAACCTTATAGAGATAATGAAAAGAAAGTAAATCCATAAAACAAAGTCACGTGTGAAACAAGAATAGGTAGGTGTGCAGTAACAACAGGTATCTGAGAAAAGTAATAAAAAGAAGAATTTTGAAAAAATATAATTAGTGCTAAATTGTTTAAAAAACAAATAGGTGGATGTATTAATCTGTTCTTTCTATAATTGTTATAATGAAATACCTGAGACTGAGACTGGGTAATTGATAAAGAGAAGAGGTTTAATTGGCTGATGGTTTCAGAGGCTTTACAGGAAGCATAATGCTGGTATCAGCTTCTGGGAGGTCACAGGAAACTTACAAAAATGGCAAAAGGTGAAGGGGAAGTGAGCATATTTACACGACCAGAGCAGGAGGGAGAGAGAGAGTAGGGAGGTGCCACACATTTTAAAACCACCAGATCTCATGAGAACTCACTCATCATCATGAGAACAGCACCAAGAGGGAAATCTGACCCAAAGACCCAGCCAACTTCCACCAGGTCCTACCTCCAACACTGGGGGTTACAATTCAACATGAGATTTTGGTGGTGGCACAGATCTAAACCTTATCATTTTCTCCTGCCCACTTTCAAATATTATGTCCTTATCACATTGCAAATACAATCATACCTTCCCAGAAGTCCCCCAAAGTCTTAACTCATTTCAGTATTAAGTCAAAAGTCCAAAGTCTTATCTGAGACAAGGCAAGTGCCTTCCACCTATAAGCCTGTAAAATTAAAAATAAGTCAGTTACTTCCAAGATACAATGGGGTATAGGCATTGGCTTTAGCCATCTGAATGGGAATACTCCCATTTCAAAAGAGATACATTGCCCAAAAGAAAGGGAATACAGGCCTATGCAATGCAATCTGAAACCCAGCAGGGCAGCCATTAAAGCTCCAAAATTATCTCCTTTGACTCCATGTCTCACATCCAGGGCACACTGGTGGAAGGGGTGCACTCCCAAAACCTGAGCAGCTCCACCTCTGTGCCTTTGCAAAATTCAAATTCCACGGTTCTTCTCATACTTGGTGTTGAATGCCTGCAGCTTTTCCCCGCACATGGTGCAAGCTGCTAGTGGATCTATCAATCTTTGGTCTGGAGGAAGGTGGCCCTCTTCTCACAGCTCCACTAGGCAATGCCCCAGTGGGAATTGTGTGGGGGCTCCAACCCCACATTTCCCTTCTGCACTGCCCTAGTAGAGGTTCTTCATGAGGGCTCCGGCTTCTGCCTGGACATCTAGACTTTTCCATATATCCTCTGACATCTAGGCAGAGGCTCCCAATCCTCAGCTCTTGTACTCTGCATACCTGCAGAATTCACACCACATGGAGCCACCAGGGCTTATGGCTGGCACCCTCTGAAGCAGCAGCCGAGATATACTCGAGCCCCTTCGAGCCAAGACCGGAGCTGGAGTGAATGCGGTGCAGTGGGCCGTGTCCGAAGGCCGCACACGGCAGCAGGCCCTGGTTCTGGCTCTCAAAACCATTCTTCCCTCTTAGACCTCTGTGCCTGTAAAGAGATGGTCTCTGAAATGCCTTTGAAGGCTTTTCCCAGTGTTTTCAATATTAGCATTTGGCTTCTTTTTACTCATGCAAAGTTCACAGCCTGCTTGAATTCGTTGCCTGAAAATGGGCCTTTCTTTTCTACCACATGTCCAGGCTGCAAATTTTCCAAGCTTTTATGCTCTGCTTCCCTTTTAAATATAAGTTCCAGTTTCAAGTCATCTCTGTGCTTACGCATATGAATTAGGCTGTTAGAAGCAGCGAGGTAACTGCTTCTTCTTTTTTGTGTGTGATATAAAGTCTTACTCTGTCACCCAGGCTGGAGTGCAGTGGTGCAATCTTGGCTTACTGCAACCTCCATCTCCCGGGTTCAAGTGAGTCTCCTGCCTCAGCCTGCTAAATAGCTGGGACTACAGGTGTGTGCCATGCACCACCACACCTGGCTAATTTTTTTTTTTTTTTTGTATTTTTAGTAGTGATGGGGTTTCACCATATTGGCCAGACTGGTCTCAAACTCCTAACCTCGTGATCTGCCCGCCTCGGCCTCCCAAAGTGCTGGGATTACAGACGTGAGCCACTGTGCCCCGCCTCAGGAAATTTCTTGAATGCTTTGCTGCTTAGAAATTTCTTCCAGCAGATACTCTAAATTGTCACTCCCAAGTTCAATGTTTCACAGAACCCCAGGGCAGGGGCACAGTGCCTCCAAGCTCTTTGCCAAGACTTAACAAAACCGATCTTTGCTCCAGTTGCCAGGAAGTTCATCATTTCCATCTGAGACCTCCTCAGCCTGGACTTCATGGTCCATATTACTCTCAGCATTTTGGTCACAATTCAAGAAATCTCTGGGAAATTCCCAGCTTTCGCTCATCTTCCTGTCTTCTAAGCCCTCTACACTCATTCAACCTCTGCTCATTATCCAGTTCCAAAGCCACTTCCACATTTGCAGGTAACTTTATAGCAATGCCCCACTCGTCAGTATCAATTTTTTGTATTAGTTCATTCTCACACAGCTAAAAGAAATACCTGAGACTGGGTAATTTATAAAGAAAAGAGGTTTAATTGGCTCCTGGTTCCACAGGCTGTATAGGAAGCATGATGCTTGCATACACCTGGCTTCTGGGAGGCCTCAGGAAACTTACAGTAAGGGTGGAAGGCAAAGTGGATGGAGACTTATCTCACATGGCTGGAGCATGAGGGATAGAGAGGGTGGAGGTGTTACACACTTTTAAACAACCAGATTTCACCAGAACTCAGTCACTATTACAAGAACAGCACCAAGAGGGAAACCTGCCCCCACGATTCAATCACTTCCTAGCAGTCCCCATCTCCAACACTGGGGATTACAATTTGACATGAGATTTTGGTGGGGAAACAGATCCAAACCGTATCAATTGAGTAGCTGACTGTACATAAGTGAGTAGTAAGTTAGTGAGCTGGCTCTTCATGCAGGGACAATCTCCTAGAACCCAGCACCAAGAGACACACCCAAACAAATTAATGACAATAGGTATAAATATAGCAATGGTAAAAGCTGTAACACAAAATAGTTTGAAAATGTTGCAATAGAAATACTATCTTAAGAAGCATAGTTTAAGGTAAAAAGCACAAATGGTTGAAAGAGAAATGTTTCCTTTTATGAAAGTAACAACTAACCTGAAAGATGAGTCACAAAATATTATGCCTCCAAAAATTATGATTTGAAATATATGACTCAAATATTGATAGAATAATTTCCATGCTCTGGCAGAATCTCTACTTAAAGCAGCAAGATGACTTCCTGTGAACTCCAATCCTTCAATGAAGATCTATTAGATGCATAGATACAATTTGAGTGAAAAATTTTGTGGAAATCATGTGGAGAATTGAGTTTCAAATTTAGGTTGACTTTGTGCAGTACAGATACAGCCTGGATGTCTGAGAAAACCAGGAGCCTGGGGAACCATGAGCTAAAATTCTCTTTCTGCCAAGTTTAGCCCTGCACTCATGACAGAAGGTGCAGATAATGAGATAAGGCTGTGGGACAAGTGAGGAGTCAGTGGATGTTTGAGGAGAGCAAAGATTAAGTTTGTGGGCTTAGGAATCAGAACTTCTAGATTTGAATTTAGTTCTATCAGTTCTAGCTGTGTGACCCAGGGGAGTCTGTTTAACATCTCTGTTTCTTGAGTTCTCTCAAATATAAAATGGAAGTAATCGTATCAACTTCAGAGGTTTGTTATGGTCATAAAATGGATTAATATATGTAAATTCCTTAATAATTGCTGATTGTGCTCCAAAAGTTAGATGTTATTGTTATTAGGTGGTGTTTTGGCAATAGTAATACCTTTAAAAAACAGACTCTCTGTCCTCGAGGATTTACGATGCAGTGCGACAACCCTGGCCAATGGCTGGGGGATGTGCAGATACCACCACATGATGAGTGTGGGTCACGTGTCTAGCCCTATAATCACGAAGTCATTACTAGCACCTGGGTCATGGTACAAGCATGACCTCGGGAAATCACTGTGACTAAAGAAAGGCAAATCCCGGTAAGAGTCTGCACAGATGCTCACGGAAAGTGTACTCCAAATCTTGTCTCCTGCTGGGATGGGAGAGAAGAAAATGTTCCCAAATGGAAATCCATAGATACGGGTGAGATGGGCTGAGAGGGTGAGGAGACTTACATATAAATACACCTGTGTAGAACAGGCTGCTCTCACCTGTGAGTCCCAATAGCATAAAGAGGCAAGGGTTGTCCAGGTGGGCTGGAAGACAGGTATGGTCATTGCCTGCTCTGTTGAAAGTTTATCACGGAGAGACCCCAGCCTCTGAGCTCTGCAGGGAAGGAGAAGCCCCACCTGCCATGATATCTGAGGAGGGAATTTGCTGTGGAAGGAAAAGGCCACGAGACTGGCATGGTCTCATAGTAAAAGAGGAAGCAGGCAGAGTTGCCACCCCTGGGAAGTTGCTGATATCCACCTTGGGGTTCCCACGCCTGGGAGCCTTGGACAGTAGTGGAGACAGTTTGACTGCTCTGGGCCTGCTCTCTGTCCCAGGGGCACTCACTTCATGCCAGGGTTCCCTTGGCCCTTCCTCAGTTGACAGCCCTGATCCACAGGGCCCTGTAGCTAAGGACTGAGTTTGGATTTTCAGAGACTGTAATTCTGGGTGTGGAAAGTTTGAGGTCTTGTTACTGTAGCAGCCTTTAAGGATGGAACCAAAACTCCTGGATGTCCCCTGCAAAAAGTCCCTAGGGCCAACATCAAGTAACAAGCTGAGCAAATAAGAAATGGCAACTCTTCTCAGGTCTGTCAGAGAAATGAGGTCACAGAGCAGACCATTGTCTCCAAAACTGGAAGTTAGACAAAATGATATAGAGAATTACAACTTCCTGAAGCCAAAACCTCCATGGGAACCAGTGCCAGGGTAGGAAAACCTGCACTGTAATTGAAGAATTGCTAGAGGCTTGGTGTGGGCCAGTCTGAGGAACAGATTCCAGCAGGACCCAATCGCAGGGAACTCCAACACTGTTGTGAGATTTACCTCCAGGAGCTTGATTAGGTGCTCAGAGTGAATATGAGAGAAACATTCACTTGTGCTTCCTGGGGGGTGTGGAGGGGAAAGCGAATCATTCTGAACTACACCAGAGCATTCTTTCTTCTTACCAAGCCCAGCTCTCAGGAGAAACTATTTTACCAGTGCCTAATCTGCTGGGCTTTGATCAGAGCCTAACCTACCTGGGGAAGGCAAGCACCCAACTCCAGCCCCCTCTGGCCATCCTGTCCCACCATAGGGGAAAAAACTGAGAGGCACTTGTGAAGTCCACAGGCCAGGGGCACAGGCTCACATAAGACTGCAACCTCATGTAACTGGTGATGAGCCCATGTGACATTTTTGGGAAACAAATAATTGAAAGAGAGATTGGACAACCACAGTGAAAATGCAGTGAATAAATGAGCAGTGAAAATGCTGGAGATAAAGTTCAAATTGTATGTCAGTGGAGTTATAGAAGCATGAATAGCTGGTGAGGCAACGTAGACCCTGGTAGTGTTTGAAAAACTTCAGATAGGCAGCCCGCAGGACTTAGAGAAGGTGAATTTAACAGATACGGGATGGGGTACTGACAAATAGGGCGAAGGTGTCCCTGAGGATGTGACAACAGCAAAAATCTTCACGTGAAAGGAACTTTTGCAGAGATTTCACGACACTGAAAGTGCAAATGATAAGGTGCTGGAAACAAATCCAAACTTAGAGAGGAAGGTGATAAAACACCCAGATAGAAAGGATGTTTGCTCCATATCCGAAGTGTACAAGAAGGAGGTAAGCACTCTTCCAACTACTCTTGAAACATTTTTACAAAGAAATAAAATACTGAAACACTTGATGTTTCCAATGTTTTGAATTACAGGGTACTAATAAATATTCATTTATTATTTTTTATTGCCTTCTACATTTGTAACTGACACTATGAGAGTTTCCTATATTTTGACAAAAAATTGTAAAGGTCACAATATGATCATTGTTTTTCTGATTGGATGTGGAGATTGCTTTCCTGGGTTTCCGGCTGCACAGTCATTCTTGCAATCTTGCACTGCTGTGAAAAGCGAGGGCTGCCTGTATTCGTTATAATGCTTATGGTAATAAATGCTAAATAAAAATTAATCAAGATAAGAGAAATTAGAATGCCAGGGTAGACAGGAGAATTGATATTATGTACAGGGTGGTTTGCCAAAGGTGCCTTTAATAAAGTGACATTGAGCAGAGGCTTGAAGGAGGGATGAAGGGAGCCATGCAGCTGTGTTGGGGAAGAAGCAGAGGAGTGATACAATTTGACTTTTCCAAAAATCCCTGTAGCTGAAAAATGAAAGCCAACAGAGGCTACAGAAGTGTTCCCGGAAGAGATGATGCTGGCCGGGACAGGGAGGGGTGATGGAGGTGAGAAGTGTGCAGGTTAGGGATGTAACTCAGTGCTCTCCTGCAGCAGGCTTGGACTGGCCCCTGAAAGCCAACCGTTAAGTTTCAGGAATTTTGCAATCCAGTTGTTAAACTTCTGGTAGCTTGAAACTGGCCATGTTGGGGGTGATTATACCACAGAAATTGTCAAGTACAACAAATCAGCTTTTTTTTTCCTTTAAGAGAGTCCATTTTTAAACACTTACCATCTCACGAGTGGACATAAGTATTTTGAAGGCAGAATTGAATATGGGGTGTAAAGAGACATCAGGGAGGATTCGGGAGTCAAGGAGGCTTTTGGACTGCGGCAGCATTTCCGCCATGAGCAGCAGGGCGGGGAAGCCTGCAGGATGCTAGAACTAGTGTTCCCATCACAGAGAGAGCAGGGAGAGCTTCTTTGTTTCTGAGTGTGAGGAGTAGGACCCTTAGACAAAGAGGAAGGATAATCTTTTTATTTTCTTAAAACCACTTTGGGAGTGCATTTGTATTCAAGAGGCAATAGAGAACCTCAACAAGGCTGGGGAGTTGGGATAGGCAGGAATCTGGAAGGCAGGATAACTCTTGAGAACCTGGAGAGCGTCTGTGGTTTACGGTCAGTCTCAAGGCGATGGATGGGAGTCCTGGTGTGTTTAGATTTGGCATGTTTCTCGCCTTCTAGGGAGGTGCCGTTAAGTCAGTGCCCAGAGCCCAATCCCATGGCACCTGCTCAGGACCATGAATGAAGACCTTGCTCTGGGGCATCCAGGTCTGTGTGAAGGAGCAACAGGAGCCTGTGGGCAGGCAGATGTCTTGGGAGGGGAGATGTTTGGAGCCAAGTCTAGAGAAGCTTCTCACTGGCTCATTCTCTCAAGCTGAGCCTCTCAGGAAAGGAAGGAGGCAGCAGAGATGAGGGTCCCACGTGGCAGGGGAGGAAGGAAGGAGCTGTAGGAAAACACATCCACACTTAGTCATCTGCTCATCTTTCAAGACATGTTTCCTGAGAGTCTGTTATGTTCTCGGGGCTGGTCTCCTGGGATACCTGTCACTGGTGGACAGGCAGTCCTGATAGAACTCTGCCTGCTCAGCCATCCTGCCAAGTCCTGATGCCCTTTCCAATATTCCTTCCACTCAGACACACAGAGGGTCAGAGCACAAACAGCCTTCAGGGCTTCCCATTTGGGTTTCTCAACATTAGTTTACAATGTGGATTTCTCTGACCCCATGGAGTCCCAGCATTCAAATAATCTACAGATAGCCTGCAAGGGACCACCCACTCATCACTGCCTCCATGAAACTCCTAGGGCACTGTGGACATCTTTGAACACATTTCAAGCATCCCACATTGTACACCACCCACATAATTTCTGTGGGTTGGGAGCCTTTTAAAGGGTTCCCCAAGACTTCCGAGGGTGCGGAGGGAGCTTAACTCCACGGACCCTGGTGCTGCATGGCATGTGGGCTGGGCCTTCCTGTTGGCCTTGCCCTTCTGAGACAGCCCTTGGTCTGTCCTCCCTTCCTTGTACTTACAGTCAGGTCTTCTGCTTCCAGGGGACGTAGATGGGGCCCAGGAGGACAGCTATGAGGAGCAGCGCAGTAAGGGATGATGCCGGGCCTGGAAATCAGGGAAGACGAGGGGCTATGAGAGAGACCACTTGGGAGGCCATTGTAGGGGCCTCCACTTACCCCATCTGAGGCTGCCTGGGCCCATCTATGCCCCACCTTTGAACCTGCATCCTGCCCAGGCTATCTTCACTCCAGCACAAGGCAGAAGCCACAGAAAGAGGCTCCCCATTCTCACTCATCCTGTCCCAGGTTGCCAGCTTATTCTCCTGGAGGGAAGAGGTGGAGGGGGTGTGTACTCAGGTATTCATACATGTGGCAACGGGGTTCCTCACTTGACCCTCACAAGCCTATGGGAGCAGGGATTGTCATTCCATTCTGCTAGGGAAACTGAGGCCCATGGATTTTAGGGAGGGTCACAAGGTTACTTGCATTCAAACCTAAAGAAGCTCATCACTAGTGTTCCTTAGGTTGATCCCTGAGACCATGTCCTTTGGAACAAAACAAGTCCAAATTCCTAGGGACATTTTAATGACTATAAAAGGGTAGGCAGGTGGCTTGAGGATGGCTTCACAATGAGAGTTGCAGGTTCCCTGCTTAGCCCCAGAAGTAAGGGGAGGACTCCGTGTTCTCAGAACTTGGAGGAGCCATGGAACACTGGACATAATGAAACCTTCCGGCTAGAAAACATCCTGGTGAGTCACGGAAATGGGTCTCATGCTTGGGAGGGCCTCAGATGTCACCTAGGCCACCTCCACCCCAGTGCAGGTGTCATCTGAAATCTTTCTGTTAGTTGGGCACACTCAGTTACGGGGAAGCACATGTTTGGACGCTGCATTTTTAACATGAGCAGTTCAGGCTTTTAAAATCAACATTTTTAACGCGAGCAGTTTGGGCCATTAAAGATATTACAGTATATTTTAAATAAATAAAATGGTGCTGGTGGGTCCTTAAGGAAGAAATGGAGAACTCAGCATCTGTGGCTGCTGGGGTGTTGGAGGCCGGCAGTTCTCAGCTGGGTGGCTCTCTGGGACTTCTTCTCCCTTGAGGAAAGCTGCACTGCCCAATTCCAAGTTCACTCCTCCTTCTAGGGGACAGCCCACAAGAAAGATTGGCTGAATTGAAAATAGGAAGGCCACGCTTCTCTCCTCAATTAAAAAACACTACATGACGCTCTCAGCCCTTGGGATCCTCCGCAGGAGCAGCTGGGTCTTTGTTCTACCTGCACTGTAGCTCAGCACCTCGCTCCTCCTACAGTCCTGCCTCCCCATTTCCTGAGGCATGCTGACCCTACAGCTCTTCAGGATGCTTCCTGCATTCCTGTATCCATCTCTAGTCTGCCTTACAGAGAAACTGACCTTGGTAAGTTGTCTGTAAAGCTTACTCTAAAATATAAATTTGAAGCCTGAATACTCATCAGCTCGCAATGAGGACCTCAGGGCTGGCAGTGAGTGGGGCTGGGCACCATGGCTGGGATGCAATTGATAAAACTTTCACTGGCAGTAAGCTGGGATGGCGTAACCACAGGCAGGAAATTCCTTGGCATCAGGCTTTTGAAACAAATTGGGAAATGGTAGTTATAAGGACTAACTTGTTCCATGGCTATCACTGGGCATATTTTTTTTGGGGAAATATGCTGAGAAGCTACGAGTGATTGATTATGAGTTAAGGTTCAGCGTGAAAGCAAGAGGACTTCTTGGCAGCACTGCACTTTCTTATCTCTTGTGGCTAGAGGGCAGAAAGAATAGAGGGTTGGGCCCTGGACATCATTAAAAGAGTAGCAGAATCACAGAGGAGGATGAATCTCAGCTTCAACGGTTGCTATGCTGGGGTAGGGCCCTGATGGGGAAGTTGTGGGACCCTGAGATGTGGGAGTGGACATTTGGGTCAAAGCACTCAAAGATCTTCGGTTGACTTAAGAGTTGCTGGGTACAATTGCAGCAGCATAGCTACTTATCTGTATAAAATATCCTCCCCAAATCAAATAAAAAATGAAAACAAAGTAAGTTCTGCACAACCCTGGCTCTCAGTATTACTTGAAGAGAGAAAGCCAAACTGCAAAATGACCGTGAGTCAAAACAGAACACTCACCTAACCCTAGTGCACAGTCTCTTACCCGGCTCCCACGCCACTGGTGCAGCACTTATGTAACCACAAGGCATCTTGCATTTTACCTGCCAGCCTAGACAACTTAAAATGCATTTCCAGCCTTAGTACCTGAGCAAAGATGCTACATCTGGCAAACCGAAAGCACCCAAAAATGCCAGCCCTGGTCCTGGTCCAAGCCAGTGGGTGGATGAATAACTGAAAAGCAAATGCAATCCAGTCTTGATGGTGCAGTTTTACCTCCCTGAGAAGTAAAACTATGAACCCTAGAAACATCACAAGGATCAGGAATAGGAGAAATTCCAAGGTGGGAGAGGAAGAAGGGAGACTGACTAGGGGCCTCAGGACTGAGGGACAGCCCTGCAGCCAGGCACCTGGGACCCATCCCCCAACACCAGCCCCAGCCATAAACGGAGGCAAAGGAATGACATAGAAAAGAGCAAAAGCCTCAAGTCAATTAAATCACCACTTCAAGAAACTAGAAAAAGTAGAGCAAAATAAACTCAAAGCAAGCAGGAGACAGGAATTAATAAAAAGAAGAGTGCAAAAAATGAATAAACTGGAAACACAAAAACAATTTAAAAACTCACGGAAACAAAGTGGTCCTTTGAAAAGACCAATAAAATGGAAAAAAACTATAGCAAGGCTGATGAAGAAGAAAACAGAAATGGCATATTTTAGATATGAGGTTGAAACAGGGGATATCGCCATAACCCTTCAGACACCAAAAAGATAATAAGGAGATATTATGAACAACTCTACACACAAAAATATGACAACTTAGATAAAATGGACACAAAATTCTTCAAAAGGCACGAGTTACCGGAACTCACCCAATATGAAATGAATAATATGAGTAACCCTAAACTACTGAGGAAATTGAATTTATACTTTTAAAACACCCCCAAAAATTCTTGAGGCCCAAGTGTTTCAAAGAAAAATACTGCAAAGCATTTAAATATGAATTAAAACCAAATTTAGTGCACAGAAAGATAGTCATAAAAGAAATTTGAGGAAAATTTGAATGTATACTCCATTTTAGATGATATAAGGGAATTGTTTTAATAATTTTATGAAATTTAGTGATTAAAAATTTGAAATTGTATTAACTGTAATAATGATACTGGTTTTGTTATGCTGTCTTTAGTCATAAGATCACCCAACTATGGATTCCATTTGGAACTGCGTGTACATGCATGACTGAGTTAGCTGTGGACATGATCACACGCCTTCCATACATCTC
Organism: Homo sapiens; assembly: GCF_000001405.40. Lineage (NCBI taxonomy): Eukaryota > Metazoa > Chordata > Mammalia > Primates > Hominidae > Homo > Homo sapiens. The sequence goes on from NC_000020.11 coordinate 1,633,604, forward strand.
TGATTATAGAAGATATTTTTTGCCCTCCATTTCCTATATTTACTCTTCCAGCAGACAGGGACATGGAAAAATCCGTGACCTAGCACTGACCCAGCAGATAAGACTAACCACCATAAGGTATGTGGGAGGAACCTGGGCCTTTGAAAAGTCTCCTGGAGTTGAGACTCCTCCTGGTATTACACAAGAGGGAAGTAAGACATATTTTGGTCATACGGAGTGGAACACAGGCCAACTTCAGGTCCATGGGACAATGCCCAGCAGAAGAGGACTGTTTCTCTAACTAGCACAAATTTGCATTTTAGGCTGATACTGACCTTGTCCTCAGGGACCCAGATTTACTTTAATTAGTTTGAACCAATAACCCGATCTAAAGGCAAGAGGTCTTCAACAACATCCCCCATGACTTCCCAAGTCCTAGTTTCCCCTTCTTTAAAACTCCAGACTTACTGGGTGGTTGAAGCAAAAACAGAGATCATGGATGAATGGAAATTTGCACTTAGTAAATTTGCAGAGGGGTTTGTGATTATTGTTGCTCAAATATCACAATCAGGACACAGAAGAGGTCCGTTCTGTGACCATTCATGGTCACCTGCAGGCCTGGTACAGTTTTTTTTTTTTTTTTTGACAGAGTCTCGCTCTGTCGCCCAGGCTGGAGTGCAGTGGCATGATCTCGGCTCACTGCAAGCTCCGCCTCCTGGGTTCACACCATTCTCCTGCCTCAGCCTCCCGAGTAGCTGGGACTACAGGCGCCCGCCACCACGCCCGGCTCATTTTTTTGTATTTTTAGTAGAGATGGGGTTTCACCGTGTTAACCAGGATGGTCTCGATCTCCTGACCTCGTGATCCGCCCGCCTCGGCCTCCCAAAGTGCTGGGATTACAGGCGTGAGCCGCCAGGCCTGGTACAGTTTTAAACTACATTTGTCTTTCTGAAACATACACAGCAGATGTCAGGGTGTACTGGGATGAGGTCATAAATGAGGATGGAAAAGTTTGGATGAAACAGAAACAAAGCAGAGGTTAGAAAAAGTAGGGAGCACAAGGGTGGGCTGATGAGAAACGGGCACAACAACTCTCAAGGAATAAGGGAAGGCAAAGGACTCTATGAGAAGATGGTTCCCCCTGCCTGCCTCTTTGCTCCTTAAATATATATTTATGTACGCCAGGCGCGGTGGCTCACGCCTGTAATCCCAGCACTTTGGGAGGCTGAGGCGGGCGGATCACGAGGTCAGGAGATCGAGACCATCCTGGCTAACACGGTGAAACCCCATCTCTACTAAAAATACAAAAAATTAGTCGGGCGTGGTGGCGGGCGCCTGTAGTCCCAGCTACTCGGGAGGCTGAGACAGGAGAATGGCGTGAACCCGGGAGGCGGAGCTTGCGGTGAGCAGAGATCGCGCCACTGCACTCCAGTCTGGGCGACAGAGCCAGACTCCGTCTCAAAAAAAAAAAAAATTAAACATATATTTATGTCAAAAGTTCTATTAACTTGTGCATCAAATTCTTACTAGTCATGACTCTTCGCATGTGGGATTTGGGGGGATGGAGCTGACATTAAAATTTTACTTTGTATTTATAGACTTCTAGCTTATTTTACAGCAAGTGTGGATATTACTTTTAAAATGAGAGAAAAAGACAAAATTTAAAAATTTTGAGTAACCTCACCAGGGGTAGCATCTGAGCTCTGGTCCTTCTGGTGGACTGTGACCTCTAGGGCAAGGCGTTTGCTGACCGCCAGCTGCCCATCATGCTTCACCTGGCAGGTGAGGACCACATCATCCCTTTGGTCAGATATGTTCACCAGGAACCAGCTTGTCCAGTTGTAGGTACCATCCTTGTTCTCTGTAAGGGTCGAGGCTGTTTCTCTCTGGCACACGTTTCCATTCTCCGACCAGGTCAGCTGTAGGCTCTGGGGGTAGAACTTCCTCACCTGGCAGGTGACGTTTACCTGGTTCCCCACCCTCATGGGCTGTTGAGTAACCTCCAAGGTGGGTGGAACTGAAACAGCACAGGGTAGAAGCTCTGATCTTCTGGCACAGACAGATCACAGGGAGGGCTCCATAACTTAACTCCCACTACCACGGTGAGGGCATCACCAGGACAGTGCTAGGCAGGCAGCAGATGCTAAGACATTGAGGGCGCTCTTTGCATATGAATGAAATTACCAAGCACAGTGCCTGGTGCACAGTAGGTGCTCAAGGACTGGTAGCTCCTACTAGGCTAAGAATGAGTGAAATCTACAAGCACAACCCCTGGCATGCAGTTGGAATGTAAGAACTGTAGCAAAATCAGTGAAATCGCCGAGCACATAGGGACTTGGCTCATAGTAGGTACTCACTAATAGTAGTTGTTCTTGGTGAGATAAATGAAACTCTCTAGCGCAGAGCTTGGCACGTGATTGCTGGTCCCCTGACCGCTGCCAATAAAATGATAGTAAGTGACCAGCACACCTAGGTGCATGGCGGGCGGGCAGTATAGTCAGGGATTAGATTACAGGCCATTCAACCTCTGGAGCAACAGCCTGGGGAGAGGGGAGTGGGCTTGACAGCCAGGTGTGGGCTTGGGCTGGGTGTGAGGGTCCTCTACCTCGGATGGCCTCAGACAAGTTGGCAGTCCCACGAAGAGGGTCCCCCTGCAAGGTGACATGGGCCACCTCGCAGATGACCTGAGAGCGAACGTCCCAGGGGTCCAGTACCACCCTGGCTGTGCTGCGGATGCTGTAGGCCACACTCTGTCCTGTGGGGTCCACGTTGGTCTGGAAGTCTGAGAGCTCATTCCCATTTTTGAACCATTTCAGGGTGATGTCTCTGGGAGAGAAGCCATGGGACTCACAGGTGAAACTCACTGTATGCTCAGGTGTGGTCCTCGCCGCAGGGCCCAATACCACGGGGGCAGAGGGTTTGGCTACAAAAGGGGCATCGATAAACAGGAGACATGACTGAGATGACAATCACTAACGATGAGTGTGTGACACTGTTAAGAACCTTCAGATACATTAATTTTAATCCTTCTAATAATGTGGAGAGGATGGTGTTCTTATTCTCATTTTACAGAGCAGGATGCAAAGGTTGGAAGAGGTGACGACCAGCCCCAGGTCAGACAGTGTAGGGAAAGGTCCCAGAGGGAAGTCCAGGTCTGAGTTCAAAGTCCTCCTCTCCACATAGGGTGACTTCCACCAATCTGGGCACAGGAACAAAGTTACTGATTGTTCTCCCTCTGTGTATTAACTGGTGCTAGCCTGTTTCCCCAGGAGAGCTCACCAACCTCAGAGAGGGTGTTTACAGAAGCCAAAGTAGGGAACAATGGCAAAGTGGCGCCACCATGAGACCTGCAACCAGGCTGCTCAGCCCATGAGAGGGGTGGCCTGGAACATGCAGCCCCTCATCTGCAAAGTGGGACAGCAGCATTTTCCCTTCCCAGGGGTGCAACAAGGATTAAATGGGGCCATGGAAGAAGTTTTGCTTTGGATCAAAGTCAGAAGATGCTTCATAAAAATAAACACAGATCTGTCTTTAATCCAGACTTGACATATACCTAGAGCTCTCTCTCTTTGTGTATTTATGAATTTATTCCATATTTTTCATTCTTTTCACAAATATTCCAGTACAGTTTTTGAAAGAAAATGAAGTAGTTAAGGCTAAAGCTTTAACATGGAGTCAAGCGTTTGTAAGAGCATTGCACTCACACCTGCTAAAGGTCAAGCCACAGGATGTTGCTGTAGACCTGGATAACAATGGACTGAAGTCAAGGTACATGGGATTTTGATTTCTCTCATCCTGGAGTGTCCTAATTAAGTAACCAATTCATACGAGTTTGCAGTTTAGCATTTCTGCCAGGCAATGAACTGTTTTCAAAAACAACATTTTGTGAAAGTCCCCAGTACAAAACTTTTCCTGCATTGCCCTATGGGACACTGTTCAGGACTACCATGACTCAGGGTTCCCAAATTGCAACTCTTTATTTCCCAGATAAATGCTATTTCCTTTGGCCTTCCTATCAATCATTATTTTTTTTAGTTAGCAGGTCTAATCTGTGCCAAGTCCCAAATTTGAAAAGAGGGAAGGTTTCTTGGAATCTAGGTCTTCAGTTGGGCCAGGTTGGGTCCAAAAACAATGATCACTGAGTACTAAGAAAGCCAAAGGTGGGTGATTTCTTCATCGTTAATTCATTACAAGAGACAAAGATCTAGGCCACCCCAACAGGCAGAAATCTATCCTGGGTCCTGAAAGCACACAAACTGGAGAATCAGAAAAATGAGGGTAGTTTCTCCCTGTAGATGAGTCCTAAACGTGTCTCCAAATTGCTAATTATTACCCTGCACCTCCTATAGCAGTCATCAGGAAACACATATTAGGCATACTTGCATTTGTAAATATTAACTTGCTCCCTACCACATGCAAACATTTTATGGGCACAGTAAGAAGGGTGTCACTTGAAGAAGTCAAGTCATCAAGACACCAGCAGCATTGGGCATCCCTAGAGGGCTGAGAGGCTGTAACCAGTTGCCATTTATTGAGGGCTTCTTGGGAGCCTGATGCTGGCTGCTCCCTCTGTACCTCTCAGCTCTTTAATCCTCCCTTTATTGCCTTGAGGGGGTCCTCGTGTGAGTCCCTTATAGGACCAGGGTCTGAGGGGACCCCAGCTAGCAAAGGGCCAAAAGTGGATAAAAAACCCACCCTGGTAAGGTGAGGGAGGATGAAGGCAAGCACGGAGCCTGGTATGCAGCAGGTGCTTAATAAATGAGCCCTATGGCTGTTATCAAGAGGTTTGGTCATTACTACTTCTGAATCTACACACTTATTCTTTAGGCAGCAGAACATAGAGGAGTAGAAACACCAAGAAAAGGCTCAAATCCTGCTCCCTGCAGCTCATGAAAAACTCAAATGATAATAAAAGCAAAACCACCAAGTCTGGACAACTGGCTTTCAAAAAAAAATAAGATCATAGGTAAAGCTGGAAGCATTTTGGAAGGAGGAGGGAACAGAGTCCTCTGTGACATCTTTTTATTATTATTATTTTACTTTAAGTTCTGGGATACAAGTGCAGAATATGCAGGTTTGTTTTATAGGTTATGTTTGCCATGGTGGTTTGCTGCACTTATCAACCCATCATCTAGATTTTAAGCCCTGCATGCATTAGCTATTTGTCCTAATGCTCTCCTTCCCCTCACCCCCCCACCCCTTGACTGGCCCTGGTGTGTGTTGTTCCCCTCCCTGCGTCCATGTGTTCACATTGTGCAACTCCCACTTATGAGTGAGAACATGTGGTGTTTGCTTTTCTGTCCCTGTGTTAGTTTGCTGAGGATAATGGCTTCCAGCTTCATCCATGGCCCCGCAAAGGACATGAACTCATTCTTTTTTATGGCTGCATAGTATTCCATGGTGTATATGTACCACCTTTTCTTTGTCCAGTCTATCACTGATGGGCATTTGGGTTGGTTTCATGTCTTTGCTATTGTAAATAGTGCTGCAATAAACATACATGTGCATGTGTCCTCATAGTAGAATGATTTATATTCCTTTGGTTACATACCCAGTAATGGGATTGCTGGGTCAAATGGTATCTCTGGTTCTTGATCCTTAAGGAGTCACCACACTGTCTTCCACAATCGTTGAACTAATTTACATTCCCACCAAGAATGTAAAAACGCTCCTATTTTTCCACAGCATCACCAGCATCTATTGTTTCCTAACTTTTTAATAATCACCATTCTGACTGGCATGAGATGGTATCTCATTGTGGTTTTGATTTTCATTTCTCTAATGATCAGTGATGTTGAGCTTTTTTTCATATGTTTGTTGGCCACATAAATGTCTTCTTTTGAGAAGTGTGTGTTCATATACTTTGCATACTTTTTGATGGGGTTGTTTGTTTTTTTCTTGTGAATTTGTTTAAGTTCCTTGTAGATTCTGGATATTAGACCTTTGTCAGATGGGTAAATTGCAAAAATTTTCTCCCATTCTGTAGGTTGCCTGTTCACTCTCATGATAGTTTCTATTCCTGTGCAGAATCTCTTTAGTTTAATTAGATACCATTTGTCAACTTTCACTTTTGTTGCAATTGCTTTTGGCATTTTCGTCATGAAGTCTTTGCCCATGCCTATGCCTGAATGGTATTGCCTAGGTTTTCTTCTAGGGTTTTTATGGTTTTGGGTTTTACATTTAAGTCTTTAACCCATCTTCAGTTAATTTTTGTATAAGGTGTAAGGAAGGGGTCTGGTTTCAGTTTTCTGCATATGGCTAACCAGTTTTCCCAGTCCCATTTATTAAATAGGGAATCCTTTCCCCATTGCTTGTTTTTCTCAGGTTTGTTGAAGATCAGATGGTTGTAAATGTACAGCATTATTTCTGAGGTCTCCGTTCTGTTCCATTGGTCTATATGTCTGTCTTGGTACAAGTACCATGCTGTTTTGGTTACTGTAGCCTTGTAATATAGTTTGAAGTCAGGTAGCGTGATGCCTCCAATTTTGTTCTTTTTGCTTAGGATTGTCTTGGCTATACGGGCTTTTTTTTGGTTCAATATAAAATTTAATGTAGTTTTTTTTCTAATTCTGTGAAGAATGTCAATGGTAATTTGATGGGAATAGCACTGAATCTATAAATTACTTTTTCATGACATTCATCCTTCCTATCCATGAGCATGGAATGTTTTTCCATTTTTTTGTGTCCTCTCTTATTTCTTTGAAGCAGTGGTTTGTAGTTCTCCTTGAAGAGGTCCTTCAAATCCCTTGTAAGTTGTATTCCTAGGCATTTTATTCTCTTTGTACCAATTGTGAATGGGAGTTCATTCATGATTTGGCTCTCTGCTTGTCTATTGTTGGTGTATAGGAATGCTTGTGATTTTTGCACATTGATTTTCTATCCTGAGACTTTGCTGAAGTTTCTTATCAGCTTAAGGAGTTTTTGAGCTGAGATGATGGGGCTTTCTAAATATAGAATCATGTCATCTGCAAACAAAGACAATTTGACTTCCTCTCTTCTTATTTGAATACCCCTTATTTCCTTCTCTTGCCTGATTGCTCTGGACAGAACTTCTAATACTATGTTGAATAGAAATGGTTAGAGAGGGCGTCCTTGTCTTGTGCTGGTTTTCAAGGGGAATGTTTCCAGCTTTTGCACATTCATTATGATACTGGCTGTGGGGTTGTCATAAATAGTTCTTTTTATTTTGAGATATGTTCCGTTAATACCTAATTTATTGAGAATTTTTAGCATGAAGCGGTGTTGAATTGTATTGAAGGCCTTTTCTGCATCTATTGAGATAATCATGTGGCTTTTGTCATTGGTTCTGTTTATGTGATGGATTACATTTCTTGATTTGCGTATGTTGAACAAGCCTTGCATGCCAGGGATGAAGCCAATTTGATTGTGGTGGATAAACTTTTTGATGTGCTGCGGGATTCAGTTTGCCAGTATTTTATTGAGGATTTTCACTTTGATGTTTATCAGGGATACTGGCCTGATGTTTTCTTTTTTTGTTCTGTCTCTGCCAGGCTTTGGCATCAGGATGATGCTGGCTTCATAAAATGAGTCAGGGAGGTGTCCCACTTTTTCTAGTATTTGGAATAGTTTCAGAAGGAATGGTTCCAGCTCCTCGTTGTACCTCTGGTAGAATTTGGCTGTGAATCCATCTGGTCCTGGGCTTTTTTTGGTTGGTAGGCTATTAATTACTGCCTCAATTTCAGAACTTGTTATTGGTCTATTCAGGGGCTCGATTTCTTTTTGGTTTAGTCTTGGGAGGGTGTATGTGTACAGGAATTTATCCATTTCTTCTAGATTTTCTAGTTTATTTGCGTAGAAGTGTTCATAGTATTTTCTGATGTTAGTTTGTGTTTCCATGGGGTCAGTGGTGATATCCCCTTTATCTTTTTTTTATTGATTTGATTCTTCTCTCCTTTCTTCTTTATTAGTCTAGCTAGTGGTCTATTTTGTTAATTTCTTCAAAAAACCAGCTTCTGGATTCATTGATTTTTTGAAGGGTTTTTTGTGTCTTTATCTCCTTCAGTTCGTTTCTGATCTTAGTCATTTCTTGTCTTCTGCTAGCTTTTGCTCTTGCTTCTCTAGATCTTTTAATTGTGATGTTACGGTGTTGATTTCAGATCTTTCTAGCTTTCTGATGTGGGCATTTCGTGCTATAAATTTCCCTCTAAACACTGCTTTAGCTGTGTCCCAGAGATTCTGGTATGTTGTCTCTTTGTTCTTATTGGTTTCAAATAACTTCTTAATTTCTGTCTTAATTTCATTATTTACCCAGGAGTCATTCAGGAGCAGGCTGTTCAATTTCCATGTAGTTGTGTGGTTTTGAGTGAGTTTCTTAATTCTGAGTTCTAATTTGATTGAACTGTGGTCTGATAAACTGTTGGCTATGATTTCCGTTCTTTTGCATTTGCTGAGGAGTGTTTTACTTCCAATTATGTGGTTGATTTTAGAATAAGTGCCTTGTGGCACTGAGAACAATGTGTTTTCTGTTGATTTGGGGTGGAGAGTTCTGTAGATGTCTATTAGGTCCACTTGATCCAGAGCTGAGTTCAAGCCCTGAATATCCTTATTAATTTTCTGTCTCATTGATCTGTCTAATATTGACAATGGGGTATTAAAGTCTCCCACTATTATTGTGTGGGAGTCTAAGTCTTTTTGTAGGTCTCTAAGAACTTGGTTTATGAATCTGGGTGCTCCTATATTTAGGATAGTTAGTTGAATTGATCCCTTTACCATTAGGTAATGCCCTTCTTTGTCTTTTTTGATCTTTGTTGGTTTAAAGTTTGTTTTGTCAGGGACCAGGATCGCAACCCCCACCTTCTTTTGCTTTCCATTTGCTTGGTAAATTTTCCTCCATCCGTTTGTTTTGAGCCTATGTGTGTCTTTGCATGTGAGATGGGTCTCCTAAATACAGCCCACCGATGGGGCTTGACTCTTTATCCAATTTGCCTGTCTATGTCTTTTAATCGGGGGATTTAACCTAATTACATTTAAGCTTAATATTGTTATGTGTGAATTTGATCCTGTCTTCATGATGCTATCTGATTATTTTGCACACCAGTTGATGCGGTTTCTTCATAGTGATCACTGATCTTTATATTTTGGTATGTTTTTGCAGTGGCTGGTACCGGTTTTTCCTTTCCACATTTAGTACTTCTTTCAGGAGCTCTTGCAAAGCAGGCCTGGTGGTGACAAATCCCTCAGCATTTGCTTGTTTGGAAAGGATTGTATTTCTCCTTCACATATGAAGCTTAGTTTGGCTAGATATGAAATTCTGGGTTGAAAATTCTTTTGTTTAAGAATGTTGAATATTGGCCCCCACTCTCTCCTGGCTTGTAGGGTTTCTGCTAATAGTTGTTCTGTTAGTCTGATGGACTTCCCTTTGTAGGTGACCTTGCCTTTCTCTTTGGCTGCCCTTAACATTTTTTCCTTCATTTTGACCTTGGAGAGTCTGATTATTATGTGTCTTGGGGTTGATCTTCTTGTGGAGTATCTTAGTGGTGTTTTCTATATTTCCTGAATTTCAATGTTATCCTGTCTTGCTAGGTTGGGGAAGTTCTCCTGGATAATATCCTGAAGTGTGTTTTCCAATTTGGTTCCATCCTCCCCATCTCTTTCAGGTACTCCAATCAATCATAGCTGTGATCTTTTTACATAGTCCCATATTTCTCTGAGGTTTTGTTCATTCCTTTTCATTCTTTTTTTAAAATCTTGTCCGCATGTCTTATTTCAGCAAAATGGTCTTCAAACTCTGATATCCTTTCTTCTGTTTGGTTGATTCCACTACTGATACTTGTGTATGCTTCACAAAGTTCTTGTGCTACGTTTTTTAGCTCCATCAGGTCATTTATGTTCCTCTATAAACTGGTTTTTCTGGTTACCAGCTCCTGTAACCTTTTATTAAGATTCTTAGCTTCTTTGCGTTGGGTTAGAACTTGCTCCCGTAGCTCAGCGGACTTTGTTATTACTCACCTTCTGAAGCCTACTTCCGTCAATTCGTCCATTTCCTCCTTTGTCCAGTTTTGCACCCCTGCTGGAGACTCATTGCGATCATTTGGAGGAGAAGAGGCAACTCTGGCCTTTTGGGTTGTCAGTGTTTTCTGTTGATTTTTTCTCATCTTCATGAATATGTCTAGTTTTGATCTTTCAGGCTGCTGACCCTTGGATGGGGTTTTTGTGGGGACTTTTTTTGTTGATGCTGTTGTTGCCTTCTGTTTGTTTTTCTTTCAATGGTCAGGTCCCTTCCCTGCAAGGCTGCTGCAGTTTGTTGGGGGTTCACTTCGGGCCTTTTCATCTGGTTGGCTCCCACACCTGGACATGTCACTTGAAGAGGCTGGAGAACGGCAAAGATGGGTGCCTGCTCCTTCCTTTAGGATCTCTAACCTCGAGGGGCACTGATCTAATGCCAGTAGGAGCACTCCTGTGTAGGGTGTCCGACAACCCCTATTAGAGGGTCTCTCTCAGTTGGGTGGCACGGGGAGCAGGACCCATTTAACGAAGCACTTTGACTGTCCCTTGGTGGAGTGAGTGTGCTTCAGTGGGGAAAAACCCACTTATCTGGGCTGCCCAGATTTCTCAGAACTAGCAGCAGGAAAAACTAAGTCTGCCAGACTAAGACAGTGGCCACCCCTCCCCCTAGGGGCTCAGGCCCAGGGAGATCAGAGTTCTGTCCCTGAGCCCCAGGCTGGAGTTGTTGGAGTTCCTGGAGGGATGCCCTGCCCAGTGAGGAGGGATGGGTCAGTCCTGAAGAGGCACTCTGGCCGCAGTTTGCCACAGCTGGTGTGTTGGGCTGTGGGGGATACCTCTTGGGAACAAGCCATCTAGCCTCCCTGGCTCCAGCAGGGGAAAAGCATGGCCTGCAGTTATAGAGATGGCTGCCACCTTTCCTTTGCCCTGGGAACTTAGTGTGTTAGGCAGCGATCAGTCCCAATGCTGGCTGCCGCCTATCTCCCAAGGAGCTCAGATGGCTTAAACAGCAGGCAGCCACAGCTGTGATCCTGGCCACCCCTTCCCCTGGGAGCTCAGCAGCCTTAAGGAGATTCTAGCTGAATGGCTGTTGAGAATCTGTGCAGCTCTGCGGTTGATTGAGACCCTAGGCCCCAGTGGCATGGGCTCATGAGTGGGATCTCCCGATCTGAGGGTTGCACAGTTCTGTGGAAAAGCACTGTTTCACAGGCTAGGTAGCAGCTCACTCACCGCCTCCCTTGGCTGGGGGGTGGGGGCTTCCCTGCCCCACAGCTCTCAGGGGGCCTCTGCACCACACTGCTCTTCCTCTCCATGGGTCTCGCCAGCTGCCTAGTCAATTCTGATGTCAGAACCTGGATACTTCAGTTGGTGTTGCAGGATTTGCTCGCTTTTTTGGTTCTTTTCCATGGGAGCCTCCTATCACTGCTGCTTCTAGTCAGCCATCTTGGCCCTGTCCTGCGTGACATCTTGGTGTTTTGAGGCAGGGAGACTTTTGGGGCTGAGGAGTACTGGGATTTCAATGCTTTTTTAGATACACACGTTTTCACGATGGAAGGTCCTCCAGCACTGAGGCTGGATCTGAGCAGGGCTTTATCCGGAAACTCTATCTTGGGTCCTGAGGCCCGTACTGTGGGAGGGGTCCTGGCCAGGGCACTGAGGCCTCCTGAGCTGTTTCCACCACATTTTTTCTGAAGCACCCACCCCCAGAAAAGCTGTTCTCAAAGCCCCAACCCTATGGGGCATGACCTTTGCCAGGGGACTGGGTATGAGAATCTTCTGGAGTCATGAAGAGTTCAGATGCCCAGGCCCATGTCAGATCAATTAAATTGGCATTTTTAGGCGGATCCTGGGTCCAGGTTTGTAAACATTTTTGTCAAAGTTTCCCAGGTGATTCTAATGGGTGGCCAAGATTGAAAGCCACGAGACTCCACCCCAAACCCTATGTATCCTTGAGGCCTGGAGGAGCACTGGCCCACCTGAGATGTCATGGCTTCGGCATCACATAGTTCACATTTATGGAACATTTACTGCATTCCAGGTGCTGCTCTGAGCATGTTACACGATTTAACTCCTTCAGCTCTCCCTACAGTCTGTGATGTCGGTGTTATCATCAACAGATGAGGACACCAAGGCCCACAGTGGTGGTTGCCTTGTCCCAGGTCACAGAGCTAGAAAATGGCAGAGCTGGGAAGTGGCCCAGGCAGTTGAGTTCTTGCCCATGCTCTCCTAACCACTGTTCTGCCGAAGCTCAGTGATAAACCAAACACCTCCACCATTAGAGGCTCTGTGCACATCCTCTCCGATCCTCACAGAACCTAGAGTAGGGGCCATGATTATCAGCATCACACAGATGGAGAAACTGAGGACTCAAGGGAAGGCAAGACTGGCTTAAGATTACACAACCTTGAAATAGCACCTCAATTTGGGGATGCTTAGAATGTGCTAGGTGATTTACAGAGAGAACCTCAAATCATTTTCTTTCTCTTAAAGGAGTTCATGATGATCACCATTCTACAGAAGAGGAAACTGAGGCTGGGAGAAATGAAGGCACTGTCTCCTTGTCCTCCATGTGTCCCAGTGGGCACCTTCTGTGTCCCACCAAGCATTCATGTCCATTAACAGAGCAAGTGCCCTGAATTCTTGAGCCCCAACACTGACTGCACACCCAATTGTCCCTTCGAGATTCTTGACTTCATGCAATTCAAGGGAGAAGCCTCCCTCCTGGGTGCCCAGGCCCAGATACACTGTGGCCAGAAACAAAACACTGTAGGCTCCTGTCAGCCTGAGGGGAGCATGGAAACTTGCTCCTATGGGCCCCACGCACCCCGTAGGAAATACCTCATCTCCTCATCCTTAGTCCTCAGCACCAAGAAGAGGTGGGCATGTGCTCCGCTGAGCTGCAGGAGGCCCAGCTCTGCTCCATAGATGCTGCTGAGTGAAGGAGAAACAGCACAACATGGGGGGAGAGTCCTAAACGCTTCATGTGTGCTGAGACCTGTCTTTTAGAAACAGGCTTGACATATAGTGAACCATCTGCAGAACCTTTCTAATGAGAGGGTAAAGCCAGCCCCTCCTACCCCTACAGGACTTTTTTTCATTTGTTTTGTTTTGTTTTGTTTTTGATGGAGTTTTGCTCTTGTTGCCCAGGCTGGAGTGCAATGGTGCAATCTCGGCTCACCGCAACCTCCGCCTTCCAGTTTCAAACGATTCTCCTGCCTCAGCCTCCCGAGTAGCTGGGATTACAGGCATGCGCCACCATGCCTGGCTACTTTTTTATTTTTAGTAAAGGCGGGGTTTCTCCATGTTGGTTAGGCTGGTCTTGAACTCCTGACCTCAGGTGATCCACCCACCTCGGCCTCCCAAAGTGCTGGGATTACAGGCATGAGCCACTGCACCCAGCCTCAGTTTCGTCTTTAATGCTTTTCGCTATAGAACTGAACAATGCCAGAGTCCGGAAAGAGAAGGTTGGAGCATTTCTCTACACTTGAAAAACCACATCTGAGTGAGTGTTGCAGAGACAGGGGCTGTAAGTCAGGCTGGTGGGGAGGAAATCTTGGCTCCCTGACCTGCTCACCACTCAGATCTCCTCTCTGAGCCTCAGTGTCCTCATCTTTAAAGAGGCAACAAATGGCTCCGCCCTCATAGCACTGGTTATAAGCAGACTTTGGCACAACTGCCACTCCCTGGCCCCCTTCCCTGCCTCCCTCCTTTCTCATCCAGGTCATCATTTAGGCTGAGAGCATGGCAAAGAGGGGTGAGCACCATACTAGGAGTTAGCATATCTGAGTCACACCTGAGCTACTTTCTGGCTGTGACTGCCTGGGCTGGGGAGGCACCATCTGGAAACTTCGGTGTCTTTGCCTATATTATCTGATCAGGGTAAATCCACTTCCACATCTATGTTCAAGGGTGGTGGGGAGCCCTGTTGCTATGTCATCTAGGAGGGAAATTAGATAATATTCTCATATATGAAAATACACACACCCTCTGACTTAGCAATGTCACTTCCAGTGGGTGTCTCCCACCTGAGGAGGGTGATACATGTACAAGGCCATCCACTGCAGGATTGTTAGTAGCTCAAGTTTGGGAACAACTTACATACCCATCAACAGAATGCTGTGAAATAAATTTTGATATTTCCATAAATTGGAGTGTTCTGCAGCTGCTAAAGAGTGGAGCAGTTCTATGTCCTGACGTGGAATCTCGATACGGAATGTTAGGGCTTATGTTTGGAAGAAGTTTTCCAATCACCAATGGGCTTTAGTGTCTGAATGTGAGGTGCATTCTGAACCTTTGGGAAATGGATGAAAAAAGAAATCCTGGCTCCCTGATCCATGGTTCTGTTTGAGGAGCTTTTATTTAGTACCTGTGATGCACCAGGTTCTTCTATGAAGACAGTGTCTAACAAACACTGGGGAAGGAAGGAGCCTGCCTCTATTCGGACCTTGACTCTGGCTTTGATTCCATCAATAACTGGCCATGTGACTGTGGACAAGGCCCCTATCATCTCTTGGCTTAAGTCCCCCATCTGTAAAGGGGAGTTGGGCTGAAAGTCTGAAGGTCTTTCCCGTGCTGAAATTCCAGGATTCAGGAGGTAGGATGAGGATTCTGGGCCTCTGGCTGGAAACCCCAAATAAGTTTTATTGCTGCTTTAAATTGGGCACCCCTGAGCCACCCATACGTATGACCTCTTTTCTGAGGTGAAGGATATTCTGAGATGACCCAGCTCTGCTCAGAGCCCACAGTGACTGTATGACTCAGTCCTTAAATCACCCAAGGCTTCAAATAGACCCACAGCAAATGCGAGACTTATTGGCATCTCCTCCCACCGGGCCATTAGACTAAACAGTGAATCTGTGCCTCCCAGGAATCTTCCCTGTGTGATGTTTCTGAAGATTAAATAAAGAAAAACACGATTTACACTTTCCATCCCCTGGATGAATTTCTCCTCATTAGAATGGAAGAGAATGTAAGCTTGGTGTGGGGAAGAGCTATTGGCTGTTTCATTCACTGCTGTTTGCACAGCATCCAGGGCGGAGTCTGGCACACAGTGGGTTCTCAGTGAGTGCCTGTTGCAAACTTAAAGTATAATAAAATAAAATAAATAAAAAAAAATAAAAAAAAGAATATACTTGGCCAGCCTGAGAGAGAAGCGCTCTTTGGAGGCAGAAGGTGAGTTCTGGCCCCGTACCTGGGCAAGTCACTCAATCTGTCAGTTTCCTCATTTGTGGAACCAAAGGGCTGGGCCAGATTGGGAAGGACAAGAGCTGTAGAGCCAGACAGATTGAAGATGTAGTCTCTCCCATCATTTACTAGCAATCATTTACCTTGAGCAATAGCATGATGTCCCTGGGCTTCAACTCACCTGATCTGTAGAAGGGGGTGACAACAGGTCTTGAAAATGAGCACTGAAAATCACACCTGATTGTTGCTCAAAGAATGGAAGGTGTTACTATTGAGTTATTGTCACACATCAGGGGATGAGGGAGGTCCATGTTGTACTCACCACCCAAAGCCATCTCAGTGCCTGGTCCAGACTTAAACTCCACGTTCTCAGGGCTCCCTTTTCGAAACTTCACACAGTAGTATGTGCCGACATCTGCTGGGGTGATGCTACTGATGCGGATGGAAAAGTCCATGTTGTTTCTCTTTGTGAGGTCTGAAACTGTTGTTACCCTGGGGAAGTGGCCTTCTTTTTGATTGTAGATTAATTCCCGGCCTGGTCCAACTCCTCTGAACCACAGGACGGGTCCCACGGGAAGCAGGGAGGTCACAGTGCAGTGCAGAGTGGCTGTCTTTCCAACTGTGACCAACAGGAGCTTCTCAGGCTGAATCATCTGTAGCTCCTCCTCACCTGCCACTTCTGAAAAGGAGCACAAAGCAATCATTTTTTCATCCTTACATAATCCTGTATTTCCTCATGTTTATCAAAGATATTCAGTGACTGGGTGCACATCAGGAATCAGGAGCAGGACTTGATCTCAGCACACTGCATGTATTATCTCATTTAACCCTCACAACATGCCTATAACATAAGACTGTATTACAATTGAGGGCACTGAGGCCTGAGGCACAGAGAGGTTCTTTTTTTTTTTTTTTTTTTTTTTTTGAGAGAGGGTCCTGTTCTGTTGCCCAGGCTGGAGTGCTGAGGCATAATCATGGCTCACGGCAACTTCAACCTCTCAGGTTCAAGTGATCCTCCTACCTCAGCCTCCAGAGTAGCTAGAACCACATGTGTATACCACCATGCCAGGTTAAGCTTTGTATTTTTGCAGAAACAGGTCACACCATTCTGCTCAGGTTGCCCTTACTTGAGTGCAAGTGATCCACTTGCCTCGGCTTTCCATAGTGCTGGGATGACAGGTGAGAACCATCAAGCCCAGCCAAGGGATTCAATTTCAAGGTAGAGTTTTGGGTTGAGGACCTGAATAGAACTCCTGAACTCTACTTTGAAGTGTGTATATATATATATATATATATATGTCATATAAGTGTCATATATATTTTTATATATTTTATATATATATATGTATTTAAAAACTGTCAGTAAAGCTATGCGTCTTTTGCAGGCTAGTTTTTGCCTTTCCAAATTCTAGAGGCTGCCCACATTCCTTTCTCACTGTTACATCTTCCTATCACTCTAATGTCTTGCTTGCATCCTTACATGTCCTTCTCAAAGAATTAATCTCCTTTCTCCTTCTTATAAGGACCCTTCTGATATGTTGGGTGCACTCTGACACTAGACCCAGTATTAAAACCACTGTCTTAAAAATGCTCAAGGAAGTAAAGGAAAAAATGGACAAAGTACTAAAACAGCAGGGATATAAACACATTCACAAAACAAGAACATCCAGAATGAGAAATTATAAAAAGAAATCCAACAGAAACTTAGAAGTTGAAAATACAACAATTGAAAGTTCAGTAGAGGGGTTCCCCAACAGGTGTGAACAGGTGGAAGAAAAATCATAAAGCTGCAAGATGGAATAATTAAAATTATTAAGACTGAGATACGGATGGAAAATGGAGTATAGTATAGAGAACAGAATCTAAGGGAATTCTGGGACACTATCAAGTGGATTGAAATACACATTATTAGAGTTCCGGGGAAAAAAAAGAGGAAGAGAAAAAAGAGCAGAAGATTATTGGAAGAAATCATGGTCAAAACCTTCACAAACTTAATAAAATACATGAATGCACAAATTTAAAGACACTGAAGAAATGCAAGTTTAACTCAAGGATAGAATCTGAGACCCACACTAAGGTACATTATAATTCAACTGTCAAAAACTAAATTCAAAGAATCCTGAAAGCAGTGGGAGAGAAACGATTCCTCACATACAAGAGACCCTCAGTAAGATTATCAGCTGAGCTCTTTATATAAAGTATTGGAGGTCAGAAGACAGAGGGATGATATGTTCAAAATGCTGAAAGAGGAAAAACCTGTCAACCATGAATTCTATACCTGGCGAAAGTGTCCTTCAAACACAAGGGAGAAATTAAGACATTCTCAGATAAACAAAAGCTAAGATAGTTCATGACCACAAAGGCTTGCTTACAGGAAATGCTAAAGGGAGTGCTTCAGGTGGAAATGAAATGATGCCATATGGCAACTCAAAGTTATATGAAGAAATAAAGATGTCCAGTTATATGTAAATTTTTTTTAAAAAATCATATTTACCTGATACCTCCACATCCCACAAACAAGTTGTGAGCACCCTGCCAAACCAGGTACACCACTGTGATAAAGCTGGTCCCTGCCATAATTCCTCTTCTTGTCCTCCTCTTCTGTGACTTAGTGACACTGAAACGTTCTAGTAAAACCCATCATGCTTTTTCTTGGTGTCCTCCACCCTGACTCCCATTAAAGGCAATGGCTTCTCATCTCTCATCTCTCTTGCTTCCCCATCTGCTTGGTTGAGCCTACTCCCTGGGAGCTCCTCCCATATGGCTTCCTGTGTGGCATGCCCTACCCAGCTATGCCTCTCCAGATGAAATTCTCATGACCAGGTTAGAGTGATCCTTTAAGACACAACCTGCAGGACTTACTCTACCATTTTCAACACTAATGGCAATGAGGAGGGGATTATTCTAAACCGGGGTAGCAAATTCCTAGGAGATGCACTTTGACTGTTCATGGCTTACGGATTTGCTACTGATTGGCTCCACAATTTGAGAAGGTTTTTTTTTTGCCCTGATGCCTTTCTTGTGTTGTGCTATGCACAGCTATGTGTTGCCTTTTGGAGTGCTGCCAAGACTCTCTATCCTAAAATGTGTATCCTATTCCAATATCAATAATGACAGCTGCCTTTCTTCAAGAGCACAGGATGTTATAGCAACCTCTTCAAAGAAGACTCATGTGATACTTATAATAATATCACATAATCCAGCATCTCTGAGTTGTTTTGAGGTGCCAGTGGCAATGTATTCTACATTTACAAATTTTACTTGCAAATTAAAATCAACAGGCACTCCTTTTAGTGCTTTCAAACAAACAAAAATACCTCTTCTCTCTAGAGACTTTGGCAATGATTTTCATTCCTCTTGGAATTTCTAGACCACTCCTGATGGTCATAAACTTCCCCAGGGCTTCTAACGCAAAACAAAAAATAAAACAAAACAAAAAAGCCCCTCTCTGCCTTGTTCTTTACTTCATTCTAACAAAAAATGACTGGTTATCTACTAGAATCTACTGGCTTGTGGTCCAGATCTAGGGGGAATATTTCCTGTTGCAAGCATTAACCACTGGTTGTCTCACAGGCCAGTCCCTGCTCATCTGAAATGGGTCCCACTGGAACTTAAACTTCTACTGAAACACAAAATTAAAATTTGTCAGGTGCAGCTGCACACCTTTCTGTTGACAGTGGCCTTATTACTACTGGATTTGTTGATGCAACAATCCTCAACCAAATACTAGCTAACTGAATTGAACAGCATGTAAGAAGGATTATAAACCATGAACAAGTGGTATTTATTCCTGGAATATGAGTATGTTTCAATATACAAATGACAGACAAACAATATGGTATTCTACAAATATTTATTTATAGAATAAATAGAAAAAACACATGATCATCTATTTTGATGCAGAAAAGCATCTGGTAAATTTGTACATCTATTTACGATGAAAACAATAAAAAGGATATATGAATACTTTCACAAGATGATAACATTCACCTACTCATACTTTATTTTTATTGCACTTATCATTGTCAAAAATTAATTTTTTCATTCACCTATTTATCATGTGTATTGATTACTGTCTTTCTCTGCAGTGGATGTAAGCAACAAAAGGGCAATTACTTTTTCTCTTTTATTCTACCAAAGTACCCCATGTTTTTATGTCAGATCCTGGCACATAGTAGGTATCCAATAGATATGTGTGTAATGTTTGAATTGCTCAGTGGGACATTTCCCTCGAAGACTGAAATCTTCTATTTTAGGTGGTTTGCTCCTGTGGAATTTGACAGAAAATGAGTTTCCCATGTAGAGGACTTAGTGAAAAAAAATCAGTTTGCAAACATACAGAAAGTAGAAGAGCCCAGAGAAGAAAACCACAATCTCCCTTCACACCACATTGCCCACTCCACACCCAAGAGCAGCAGCTGCAGAAATCTCATGGAATAGAATCAAGACCGGAAGTGTTTGAGTAATGGTGAAACCTGTGACCTCTAGAGTCAGAGTGCCTGAGTTCAAATCGTAGCTCTACCAGTTACCAATGAGTGAGCCTGGAGCACTTTGTGCTTCTGTTTTCTTATCTGTTAGGAAAGGTGACAAGAATATCTACCTTGTATATAATGATCACATGAAGTAAAAGAGGTAAGGCATTTTCAACAGTGTCTGCCACATGGTGAACGTTCAAAAATTGTAAAGTTATTGCTCAGTAGATTTCTGAGGCTTGGAGGCTTCAGTGGACATTAGATGACAAGGATAAGGATAAGGGTATGGATATGGATATAAATATAACTATAGTTATAGGTAATATAGGCAGACCTGTGTCACCTGTATCCCCACATTTTTTTCCTCATTTCTACCTTCATGGAAGAGGGAATTTCAGGATAAAAATGCACAGAAATTCTGCTTTGAGGGAAAATGCATTTTACCAAGAGAGAAGTTTGCTTATCTGTTGCTTCTATTAACAGATTGGAGGACTTTCAGTGGTAAGATTAGAGAAGTAGGAAGGAGGGAGAGTGGCTGGGCAATAGGGAAAACCACACATCTCTTCAATGTGCATTTCATATAGACTGAAAAAATGAGTTGAAGTTTACAGTAAAGAAAGTCTTTAAAATTCTGTGTGTGTTTCAGCATGGTCACATGAGATTTATCTCAGGAATGCAAGGATGGTATAACATTCATAAATCTCCAAATGTGATATGCTACATCAAGGCAATCTTGAGCAAAAAGAACAAAGATGGGGCCGGGCATGGTGGCTCATGCCTGTAATCCCAGCACTTTGGGAGGCCGAAGCGAGCAGATCACGAGGTTAGGCAATCGAGACCGTCTTGGCCAACATGGTAAAACCTTGTCTCTACTGAAAATACAAAAAATTAGCCAGGCATGGTGGTGCACACCTGTAGTCCCAGCTACTTGGGAGGCTGAGGCAGGGGAATCACTTGAACCCGGGAGGTGGAGATTGCAGTGAGCTGAGATCACACCACTGCACTCCAGACTGGCGACAGAGCAAGACTGCATCTAAAAAAAAAAAAAAAAAGAACAAAGATGGAAGCACCACACTGCCTAATTTCAACATTGACTACAGTGTCAAAGTAATCAAAATGGCATGGCACTGGCATAAAAAGAGATATATAGACCAATGGATCAGAGCAGAGAGCCCAGCAATAAACTCACACATTCACACTCAATTGACTATTGACAAAAGTGTGAAGAAAACACAATGGTGAAAGGTCTGTCTCTTCAAAAAGTGGTGCTGGGAAAGTTGGATATCCATGTGTAGGGGAATGAAATTAGGCCTTCTTCTCATGCCTCATACAAAAATCAACTCAAAATGGATTAAAGATTTAAATGTAAGATCTGAAACTGTACAAGAACTAGAAGAAAAGTTTCATGACATTGGTCTTGGCAATACATTTTTGGATTTGAGCCCCAAAGCACAGGCAACAAAAGCAAAAATAGACAAAAGGCATTAACAACAAACTAAAAAAGCTTCTACCCAGCCAAGGAAACAATCAACAGAGTGAAGAGACAACCTATAGAATGGAAGAAAACATTTGCAAACCATACATCTGATAAGGAGTCAGTATACAAAATATATAAGGAAGTCAAACAACTCAACCATAAGAAAACAACCCTATTAAAATATGGGCCAAAGATCCGAATAGACATTTCTCAGAAGAAGACATTAAGATGGCAAGTCAGCGTATAAAAAAAAATCCAACCTTACTATTCATGAGATAAATGCAAATTAAAACCGCAGTGGGCTATCATCTCACACCTTTAAGAATGGCTATTATCAAAAAGAGGAAATTTAGTATTGGAGAAGATGTGGAGAAAAGGGAACCCTTGCAGACAGTTGGTGGGAATATAAATTAGTAGAGCCATTAGTGAAAACAGTATGCAGGTTCCTCAAGAAATTAAAAATATAACTCTTATCTGATCTGGTAATCTCACTACTGGCATATATCCAAAGGAAATGACATCAGCATGTCACACATATATCTGCACTCCCATGTCCATTGCAGCATTATTTACAAAAGCCAAGATATGGAATCAACCTAGGTGTCTATCAGCAGATAAATGGAGAAAGAAAATGTAGCATATATGCACAATGAAATTCTAATCAGCCTTACAAAAAGGGAAACCCTGTCATTTGCAACAACATGGATGAACCTGGAGGACATTCTGCTAAGTGAAATAAGCCAGGCACGGAAAGACAAACACTGTATGATTTCACGTATGAAGAATCTAAAAAGTTGAGCTCATAGAAGTAGAAAGTAGAATGGTGTTTATCGGGGGCTAGAGAGGGGGTGTAGTTGGGGAGATATTAGTCAAAGGATACAAAATTTCAATTTAAATAAGAGAAATAAGTTCAAGATATCTATTGTACAATGTGGTGTTTATACTTAATAATATGAATTGTATTCTTGAAAACTGCTGAGAGAGCAGAGTTTACGAGTTCTCACAATAAAAAATGATAAATATGTAAGGTAATGCATATGTTTATTAGTTCAAATTAGTCATTCCACAATGTATGCATATTTCTTAATATGTTGTACATAAGTATACATACTTTTGTCAAATAAAAATAAAATAAAATATTTATTTTGTTAAAAATTTCACTGAAAATAGAAAGAGAACCAATGATTAAAAATGAAATCTCATCTGTGCATGTACATGTACATGCATAGGCACATGTGCATATATATGTGTATATAATGTGTATATATACACATTCACAAATATATATAAAAGTTTGGCTTATCATGTTAGTATATAAGGTTGTTTTGTGCATTAATTACAATTATGACAAATTTAAAAATCTCAGTAAAATATTTGGCACATAGAAACCATCCAACACATTTTTAACATTTTGGGAAAACATACATACACTAGTGTTTTACCTCTGATTGTTTCTGACTGGTGTGATGGGTGATTATTAATCTAATGTTTGCTTGCCTGCATTTTCTAATATTTCTACACATAGCATAACATGGTTAAAAGGGTGATAAACTCTGGAACTGGTCAACCTGGACTTGATCCCAACTGCTCCATGGACTGAAGTAGGGGACAATGAACAGGTTCCTGCCTCTGCCTCACTCCCCATTTGCAAATAGAGCACAAGAGTTATAGCTTCCACACAGGGATGCTGTGAGGATTAGTTGACTTAATACACACAAAATGCTAAGAAGTGCATCTGCCTTACAGGAAGAGAGCAATTGCTGAACTATTACTGCTGTCATTTGGGTACAGTGTATGTGTAAAAAAAATAATTTGAAAAGTGAGACCTTGCCCTCTAAGACCTGTGAGATGACATCACAGCAGGGCCCAGTGGGCAACTGAGAGGCTATTGTGCCCAGCCCTGTGACCGGGGGTCAGCTGCATGGTCTGAAAAAGGGGTGAAGACAGGCAGCCTGTCTGGGAGCTGTGAACAGGGCTCTCTCAGGTGGCACCAGGAAAGACCTCCCAATCCTGTCTGCCTGGGGGAAGGGAAAATAAATTCTCCAGAGGAAAGTCAAGATGACCAAGGGAGATGGTGGTGCCTGTTATGGGCTGAATGTGCCCCCAAAACGAATGGGTTGAAGCCCCAATCCCCAGCGCCTTAGAATTTGACCATATTTGGAGACAAGGTCTTTAACCCATTTATGCCCGAGGTTGCAATTTTTTTTTAATTTGAAAAATCAGACCTTGGCGATGCCCTTGAGCAGTAGGATATAAATAACTCCCGCAAGCTTAGTGATCCAATAACGGAGCACTAGGCATAAATGGGTGAAGCAATTTAGTTAAATGAGGTCACTGGCGGGGAGCCTTAATCCAATATGGCTGATGTTCTCATAAGAGAAAATGAGAATACAGACACACACAGAGGAAGACCATGTGTCAAGACACATGGAGGAGATGGCCTTCTACAAGCCAAGGAGAAAGACCTCAGTAGAAACTAACCCTGCTGGCATCTTGATTTTGCAATTCAGCCTCCAGAACTGAAAGAAAGAAAGTAAATGTCTATTGTTTTAGTTACTGAGTCTGTGGTGCTTTGTTGTGGAAGCCCTAAGAAAGGAATATAGGACGCTGTAAGCATGAAATGTGGAACTTCTTAAAGAGGAGGAGGGCACACAAAAATGGGTAGGAGGACTCAAGACAGGTAAGGATTTAATAATGATTCTTCTGTGTTTGTCAAATAAAATATTATAAAAATGTAACTAATTGTGATGGTGGCAGAAGCCTCACAAGGTTTGATGCCTCTGGTAGCCAGCTGCAGATCCACAGAGAAAGTGCTCAGCTCCCTGATCTTCTGCTCTTGGACAATGTCCAGTCCTTGACCTTCCTTGGCAGTGCTTGTGCTTATCTGAAATTGCTGCAAGTCCAGGGGCAAGGCTAGGTCCAGGAAGCAGGGAGAAAGGGTTCTAGCCCAATGCAATGCTCACCTGTAAGTCCCAGCAGTAGAGTCAGAAGCAGGAAAGGACCAGGAGGATGGGGCCAGGAGGCTGGGACAGGCATTTTGGAGACCTCAGAAGCCTGCTCTGTTCAAACGTCTGTTCTGGGGAGATGTCAGGCCCTGCTCTGAAGACAGAAGACAAGCCCTGCCTCCCTCAATTCAAGAGGAAGTGGCTATGATGGAATGCAACAGTAACCTGCTTCTAGATTGTGACTTACAAATCAGGCACAGTAGGCAGCTACAAAGCAAGGAGTTAATCGTGCTCCATTTTCAGGATAATCAGACAGGGTTAGCAGAAATAATGCTTCCTGCCTGCCTGGGACCTGTGCTCCCTCCTCGTGTCCCCAAACCCATTTTCAGGTCTTCTTGGTGATTTGCCATTTGAGGCTTTTAAGTCAAGAAAGATCTGTTGTTAGGTATTGTTTTCTAAAGTCTTTATTTCAAGACCCTAGGATGTGGTTGGCTTGTGGTCTTGTTCTGCACCAGCCTCAACCAAATGCCACTCCGCTGGACGTAGGAGAAGAGTTCACAGGACCTGCTCAACACTGGAGAGGAACCAGATCTTCTCCTGAAATGATTTTCTATTCCAAATTGCTATAATTGGCAACACTTAGCCCAAATTCAGTCTCTTGTGGACCTTAGCACTTTCATGTGCCTGCACCCAGCAGAAGGAATTATTTCTTGACTCCTTCCAGGAGAGAAACTGGGTTTGAGGTAATAAGCAACTGCTTTGTGGAGTGAGGTGGGGATTGTGGGTTATGGAAAGGGGATAGGGTTATCATGAGGGAAGATTATGGTGGGCAGGTTCCTGGGGCCGTCGCATCAATTTCAATACCCTTTCTTCTACACACAGAGCACCTATTTCATTCATCACTGAGTTCGGATGGGAAATGAGGAAAGAGGAAAAATCCATGCTCCTGCCAAGAGTGTGTGCCAAGGAGTTGGGGAAGTCGCTGGGCCCTCCTATGCTCAGTTTCAATCTCCTAAACTGGGAATAGTAAGTCTTTTTGTGCAGTGTTTTAGTGACGATTAAAGAGGTAATGAGCATATCATGCCTGAAACCCAGTAGGTCATTATTGATACTCACGGTGCCAGGTGAAGTGCGGGAACTCAAATGTTGCTTTTGAATGGATCCCTCCTGCATGCTGAGTTGCCCACCAGTGGCTTTCTCCCAGCAACCCAGGCCTCCTGAGACCCAGCTTATATAGTGTATTTGGACTCTCGCTGCCACCCTGAAATCAGTTTCTCCCTCTGGATTCTCTAAATCCCGCTCCTTGTTCAACCATAGATTAATTCCTCCTCTTACAATTTCCAGCTGTGTGATTTTCAAAAAGACACTACTTCTCTGAGCCTTGGTTTGATTGTATGTAAATAAATGTTAGAATATGCACCTTGTAGAGCTATGGTAGGAATAATATAAGCCATACTGAATGCTTGACTCATAATTAATTATAAGCAAAAAAACATGGCTATAATTATTTTCTGTGTACAGGAAGAGTCCACTGGTTCTCTGCCACCGTTGTGCCTTAGAAAAGCCACCTTGTTAAAAGAAATGATTTCTCTTCCAGCATCTATGACTAAGAAAGACCTGTCCAGAATCCTTCATCTCACATGTGGGTTTTAGGTTCTTAATCTGTCATGAATAATTGTCAAATCAAATTGTAAATGTTATCATGTTTTAATTGAAAGTCCTGTTTTAATGTGGCAGATGTACACAGGGTGAAATCTTCCCCTCCTTCTCCACACCCACAGTAGTGAAAACACAAAATGAAAAGAATATATGAATCAATGTCTAATTACACTTGAATACAAGCAATTGGCTTCTATATGACATGAAGGAATTATAACAGCTATCATTTATTGAGAGTTTCCTGTGCTCCAGATATGGTGCCAAGCATTTTTCTATTGGTAATGTCATTAAATCATTGCTCTGACCCCATGAGGTAAGCTCAACCATTAACCTCCTTTCACAGGTGAGAAAACCCGAGGCACATGGAGAGTAATGAATTTGCTCAAGATCACCCGGCTTTTAGAACTGGAACATAGGCTGCCACACTCCACAGCCTTCACTTTTAATGGTTGTACTATGATACCTCTTGCAGGAAGGGAGAGACATCCCTCAGGAAGAAAGCAGAGAAGAAGCTATAGCCTCAATTAGGAGCAGCCCTCATAGTGAGGCTGGGGCAGGTGCCATGCTCCACGAGGCCCTGACAACCCATGATCACATGGGGAATTATTCCTGGGAAGACGGAAGTGCAAGCAAGAATCACCAAAGATTTGAGGAACAGCACTGCAGCTAACAAATTCAAGAAAAACAATAACTCAAAAACAAATAGCAATCAAAAGAACTTCACACCTGAGCAAATATGAAAAAACAAAATGTGTAAAGTTCTTTAAAGTTAGTATACTTAATGATCTTATAAGGAAAACAAAAGAGAAGTAAATTCATAAACCAACATCAGGCATGTAATAATATGAAACAGAAATAGGCGGGCATGAGGTAACAACAACCATCTTGAAAAAATACCAAAACACAGACTTTGGAAATGAAAACATAATCAGTGCTGAAATTTTTTAAAAAAACTTAATAGGTTGACTAGCTGACTATACATAAATAAGTATAATAGTAAGTTAGTAAGCTGGGTGATTATGTAGGGGAAATTTCCTGTGGTACAGCACAGAGACACACCCAAACAAAGTAATGTGGATAGGTAAAAATATACCACAATATTGTGGTATATCTTTTCCTATTGCTCTATTTTTACCTATCCACATTACTACATTACTTTGAGAGGTGTGAGTCATAAAGTATTATGTCTCCAAAAATAAGAATTGGGCGTATATGACTCAAAAATGCATAGTATAGTGTCAGGAAGATGGCAGAATCTGTGCTTAGAGCAGCAAGTGCCTTCCTGTGAACTTCAATCCTTCAGTAAAGATCAACTAAGTACACAGATGCTTACAATTTTTGTGGAAATCACGTGGAGAATTGAAATTTAAATTTAGGTGACTTGGGGAAGCATAGATAAAATCTGAATGTTTGAGAGGACCAGGAACCTGGGAGTCCATGAGCCAAAATTCTCCTTTATCTGCCATATTTCACCCTGACTCATCACAGCAGGTGCAGATAACCAGGGACGACTTTGGGACACATGAGAAACTGGGAGCCAGTGGATGCTCCAGAAGACTAAAGATGTAAGACTGTGGGCTTAAGAATCAAAACTTCCTGGTCTGAAATCCAGCTCTAATGGGTCCCAGCTGTGTGATCCTGGGGTCACTATTAACTTCCCTGTTTCCTGAGTTTCCCCAAGTGTACAACGGAGAGAATAATCATACCATCTTCATAAGTTTGTGATGAGAATTAAATGAACTAATATATGCAAATTACTTAATACTATCTGACCATGTCCTCCAAAAGTTATATATTCAGTATTACCATTATCATTATAGATAGTAGTTAGATATTATCGTTATTAGGTAGTGTTTTGGTAATAGCAACAATTTTAAAAAACAGATCCTCTGCCCTCAAGAATTTATGATGCTGTGTGACAACCTTGGCCAGTGGCTGGTGGAGGTGGAGTACGACGATGATGAGCTGAGGTCATGTGCCCAGCCCTAGAATCATGGAGTCATTACCAGCACCAGGGGCATGCTATAGGCATGACGTCTGGGGGAATCAATATGACCCCAGTAAGGGTCTACTCAAATGCTCATGGAAAAGCTGTTCCAAATCTTGTCTCATGCTGGGATGGGAGAGAAGAAAATGCTCCCAAATGTAAATCAATAGGAGCAGGTAACATGGGCTGAGAGGGTGAGGAGACACCATGTAGAAATACACTCATGTAGAGCAGGCTGCACTCACTCACCTGTGAGTCCTGGTAGCAGAGGAAGTGGCAGGGGCTGTCCAGATGGGCTGGGAGACAGGGATGGACATTGCCTGCCCTGTCAGACTGTCTCATGGAGAGAATCCAGACTCTACTCTGCAGGAAAGGAGGGCATCTGCTTATCTGCTATGTTGTCTGAGGAGTGAGGTAGCTGTAGGGAGAAAGGGCCATGAGACTGGGACAATCCTCCATTGTGAAAGAGGAAGTGGACACAGTTGCCATCTCTGGGAAGTTGTGGATGTCTGTGCTTGGGGTTCCCAGGCCTGGGTAGATTTAGCCAGTACTGGAGAGAGGTCCACTGCCCCAGAACCTGCTCTCTGTTTCAGAGGCACTCATCTCATGCCAGGGGTCCCATGACCCTTCCTCATTGACAGCCCAGACCAAGAGGGCTCTGTAGCTAAGGACTGAGCTTGCAATTTCAGAGACCATAATTCCAGATGTGGCACATTTGAGGGCTTGTGGCTGTAGCAGCTTTCTGGGATGAAACCCAGTCCCCTGCACAACCCCTGCAAAAAGTCCCTTAAGTCAACACCAAGGAACCAGCTGAGCAAATCAAAAGTGACATTTCTTCTTAGATCTGTCAGAAAAACGAGGTCACAGGGCAAACCACTGTCCCCAGAATTGAGGAGTTGGGCAGGGTAATATAGAGAATCACAACTTCCTGAAGCCAAAACCTCTGTGGGAACCAGTGCCGGGGAAGGAAAGCCTGCACTGTAATTGAAGAATTTCTTGAGGCTCAGTGTGGGCCAGTCTTAGACACAAACTCGAGGAGGACCCAATAACGGAGGTCTCCCACACTTTTGTGAGTTTTATCTCTGGGAGCTTGGTTAGCTCGTCAGAGTGAATATAGGAGAAATATTCACTTGTGCTCCCAGGACACGGAAAGGAAAAGCAATCACTTAAAAATATACCAGAGTGTCCTATTGTTCTTTCGCTTGTTCCATATAGTAAATATGCAAGACAAAGGCAAGCACTGTTCCAACTACTGTTGATACATTTTTAGAAAGAAATAAAACAATTTAACTCTCAATGTTTCTAATGCTTTGAATTACAGTATACTAAATATTTGAACTTCCTGCTACATTTCTAACTGACAATATGACAGTTTCTAATACTTTGACAACAATTATGAGGATCACAGAACAACCATTATTTTTCCCATTGAATGTAGAGTTGTTTACCAGGGCTTCATGGTTTCCAGTTATTTTTACAATCCTGCACTGCCATGCAAAGTGAGGACATGCAAAATAAGTACACGTGGTAATATAATACAGTGCTGAGGAGAAAAACTGATCAGGATAAGAGGAATTGAAATTCTAGGGTAGGAGAGGAAAATGACTATTTTTCCTCACCATGGTTTACAAAATGTGTCTTTAATAAAGTGAAATTTCAGCAGAAACTTACTTGAAGGAAAGAAGAGAGTGAGCCATGCAGCTGTTTTGGGGAAGACTCAGAGGAATGACAGGATTTGACTTTTCAAAAAAAAAAAAATCATGGCCCGGCGCGGTAGCTCACGCCTGTAATCCCAGCACGTTGGGAGGCCAAAGCGGGCGGATCACGAGGTCAGGAGATCGAGACCATCCTGGCTACCACAGTGAAACCCCGTCTCTACTAAAAATACAAAAAATTAGCCGGGCGTGGTGGTGGGCGCCTGTAGTCCCAGCTACTCGGGAGGCTGAGGCAGGAGAATGGCGTGAACCTGGGAGGCAGAGCTTGCAGTCAGCCGAGATCGTGCCACTGCACTCCAGTCTGCAGCCTGGGCAACAGAGCGAGACTCCATCTCAAAAAATAAAAAAAAATCATCGTGACTGAAAACTGCAATCCAGTAGAGACAATAGCAACAGTTTGGAAGAGATGATACTGATTGGGACCAGGAAGGAGCGATGGAGGTGAGAAGCACGCAGGTTATAAATATAACTCAGTGGTGTACTGGAGCAGGCTTGGGCTGGTTCAAGACAGCCAACTGTCAAACTTTAAGGAATTTTGCAATCTGGTTGTTAAACTGTTGGAAGCTTGAAACTGGCTACATTGGGAGTATTTACACTATCAAAATTGACAAGCGCTATAAATCGGCCTTCTTTTTCCTTTTGAAGAGTCAACTGTTATACGTTTATCATCTCATCAGTGGACATAAGCACTTTGAAGGCATAATTGAATGTTGCGTGTAAATGAAAAAGAAATCAAAGAGGACTCCAAAGCTTTTGAACTGTCGCGGCATTCCTGCCATGAGCAACAGGGTTAGGAAAGTTGCAGATTGTCAGAAACAACTAGTGTTTCCATCCCAGAGAGAGGAGGGAGAACTGCTTTCTTTTTAGGTGTGAGGAGTAGGACACTGTCTTAGTCCACGTGTGTTGCTATAAAGAAATACCTGAGGCTGGGTAATTTATAAATAAGAGGTTTATTTGGCTTGTGGTTCTGCAGACTGTACAAGAGCATGGTGTCAGCATCTGCTTCTGATGAGGCCCTCGGACTGCTTCTACTCATGGTGAGAGACAAAGAGGAGCTGGCATCACATGGTGAGAGAGGAAGGAAGAGAGAGAGAGAAGAGGGAGGTGCTAGGCTCTTTGTAACAATCAAACCTTGTGAATACTAATTGAGCAAGAACTCAGTTATTACTGCAGACGGCACCAAGTCATTCATGATGTATCTGCCCCCATGACTCAAACACCTCCCATCAGGCCCTACCTCTAACATAGGGGATCAAATTTCAACATGGGATTTAGAGAGAACAAATATTCAAACTATCTTGGATGCTTAAACAAAGAGGAAAGAGAACTGTTTTTTTCCCTTAAAACTGGGATGGGGGTTCATTTGTATTCAAGAGGCAATAGAGAACCTCAACAAGGCTGGGGAGATGGAGTAGGCGGGAATCCAGAAGACAGAATAAGTACGGAAAAGCTGGAGAGAGTCTGTGGTTTATGGCCTGTCTCAAAGTGATGGATGCAAGGAATCCTAGTGTATTCAGATTTGATGTGTTTCTCACATTCTAGGGGGATGCTGTGAGTCAGTGCCCAGAGCCCCATTCCTTGGCCCCTGCTCAGGACCATGTGTGAAGACTCCACTCTGGGGCATCAAGGTGGCAGAGACTGAGGGTTCCACATGGCAGGGGAGGAAGGAAGGAGCTGTGGGAAAACACGTCCAGGTTTAATCATCTGCTCATCCTTCAGGAAATGTTTCCGGAGAGCCTGTTATGTTCCCGGTGCTGATCTCCTCCTGAGATGTCTGTGGTGGTTGGACAGGCAGCTCTGAGATAGGACTGTGCCAGCTCAGCCCTCCTCCTGAGTCCTGGCGCCCTTTCCCGCATCCCTTCCACGCAGGCACTCAGAGGATCAGAGTGGGAACAGCTTTCAGAGTTGCCTATCTGGGGCTTCTCAGCATTACTCTACAGTGGGATTCCTTAGAATGGAGTCCAGCATCAAATAATCTAGAGGTGGCCTGTGAGGGACCACCTACAGAGTTGCCCCTCACTTAGCACCCTCTTCTCACCTCCCCAGCAGGCCCCTAAGGCACCGTGGACACCTTTGAACAGCCTTGCTGTAACCCACTTCCTGCAGCACCCACACACTTCCTGGGGCTGGGAGCCTCTTAGAGGGTTTCCTGAGACTCCCAAGGGTGCAGAGGGAGCTCGGTTACCTTCTCTAAACTCCACTGAGCCTGATGTTGCATGGCGTGTGAGCTGGGCCCTCCGGCTGGCCTTGCCCTTCTGCGGCAACCCTTGGCCAGCCCTTCTATCCCCACACTTACAGTCAGGCCTCTGCTTCAGTGGATGTTAGATGGCAGAGACATCAACCCCCAGCAGGGCCCTGGGGCCCAGGAGGAGAGCTACAAGGAGTGGGGCAGTAGGAGCTGGCATGAGCCCTAGAAATCATGAGACTCCAGGAGGAGCCATGAGAGGGGCCACCTGGGATGGGCCTCCGCTTACCCCATCCAAAGCTACCTGGGCCCAACAAGGCTCCAAAACTTTTGAATCTGAGTCCTTCCCTGGATGCCCTGGATCCAACCCAAGGCAGAAACCAGGGAAAGAGGCTCCTTCTTTCCAGTCACCCCATCTCCCGGTGCCAGGCTCTCCTACTGGAAGGAGGGGGTTGAGAGAGCTTGTACTCAGGTATTCATACATTGCAAGGAAGCCATGGACTTGTTTCTGAAAGGAGTGACGCCTCCTCAAGAAGAGCCTCACAACTTAGTCTAATTTTCCATTTCCCTTATTGAAGGTTAGGTTATGTATATTTTCACAAGTTTAAAAGCCCTTTGTTTTTCTTTTTATGTGTACTATTTATGTCATTTTGCCCATTTATAGTTGGGCTGCTGGGTCTTGTTGATTTTTAGGAACGTTTAAATATAAATTAAAATCTGGTCTTTTTTGGATATATATAAAAAAAAGAGCCTCAGGCACGTCCTTCAGGAGGGATTCCAGAAGAAGGCATTGTTCTCCTAGGAGATGACAGCTCTAGGCGGGTTATGGCCCCTGAAGGCCTTCCAGTGGGACAAGATGCGAA
Source organism: Homo sapiens (assembly GCF_000001405.40). NCBI lineage: Eukaryota > Metazoa > Chordata > Mammalia > Primates > Hominidae > Homo > Homo sapiens. The sequence continues at coordinate 1,666,033 of NC_000020.11, forward strand.
GGTGGAAGACAGCACTATTGCTGATCCTGACCCTGTAGGCCCAGGCTAATGTGCGTGGGAGGTCTTAGTTTTTAACAAAGACAGTTTAAAAAAGAAAAAAAAAAAAGACAAAGTTCTAAACTAGCAAAAACCTCATAGAATAAGGATGTAAAGAGAAAAAAATTTTTGTACAGCTATAAAATGTGTTTGTTTCAAGCTGAGTGTTGTTACTAATAAGTAAAGTTAAAAAATTAAAAACCTCATAACATGAAAATGTTACAGCAAGCTAAGGTTAATATATTATTGAACAAGGCAAAATATTTTAAAAATCAATTTAGCATAGCCTAGACCAGGCATTGTGTCATGTGTATGTAGTCCCAGCTACTCAGGAGGCTGAGGCAGGAGGATTGCTTGAGCCCAGAAGTTCTGGATTGAGTGTGTGCACTAAGTTCAGAATCAATGGGCTAACCTCCTGCAAGAGGAGGGACCACCAGGTTGCCTAAGGTAGAGTGAACCAGCCCAGGTCAAAAACGGAGCAGGTGAAAACTGTCATACTGATCAGCAGTAGGATCATACCTGTGAGTAGTCACTGCACTCCAGCCTGGGCAACACAGTGAGACCCCAGCTCTTTAAGAAAGTTAAAAATAAAAAATGTATATACATTTAGCATGGCCAAGGTGTATGGTGTTTATAAAGTCTACATAGGGTAGTTTCCTAGGACTTCACGTGCATGCATCACTAACTCACTGACTTACCCAGAGCAAACAGTTCTGCTAGCTCCATTCATGAGAAGTGCCCAATACATGTGTACCATTTTAAAAAATATTTTTAAAAAAATTATTAAAAAATATTTTATATCATACATTTACTGCACCTTTTAATGTTTAGAAATGTTTATTTACTTACTTTTTTTTTTTGGACAAAGAGACTTGCTCTGTTGCCCAGACTGGAGTGCAGTGGCGTGATCGCGGTTCACCACACCCTTTAACTCCCGAGCTCAAGTGATACTCCCACTACTGAGACTACAGCTGTGCATCACCACACGTAGTCAATTTTTAATTTTTCTGTAGAGACAGGGTCTCACCATGTTGCCCAGGCTGATCTCAAACTCTTGGGCTCAAGTGATCCCCCTGCCTTGGCCTCTCAAAGTGCTGGGATTACAGGTGTAAGCCACAATATCTGGCTAGAAATGTTTAGATACACAAAAACTACTGTGTTCTAATTGCCTACGGTATTCAGTACAGTAAAATGCTGTACCGGTTTGTGGCCTAGGAGCAAGAGGCCATACCATATGGCCTAGGTGTGTAGTATGTAGTAGGCTATCCCTTCTAGGTTTATGTAAGTACACTTTGTGATGGTCATGCCAAAACCAAATTAGCTTGTTGATAGCTGTTGTGAGACCTTGGTTCTTGTCTTCTTAGTTTAAAAGAATTTAAACAAGAGACACACAGCAAAGGAAATGCAGCATAGAGTAATTTATTGCAAAAGGAAAAGAATATTTTGAAAGTTATGTGCAGAATAGATGGTACCTCCTGAGAGAGAGAGAGAGGATTCAAAACGGGTTGTTCATAAGGATAAGACAGCAAAGACTGGCACTAGGGAGGCTCCCTTTAAGGGAGTCTTCAATGATTATTCATAAGGAGGTGGAAAGAGGTGTTGCAAATAAGCATGTTCTGGGCAGTCCTCTGGGTGCACCTGAGCAGTGGCTGTATATGCTTGTTCATACATTGCATAGCTCATTAGCATCTTAAATCTCCACCCAGGGATGTGTTTTTTACTATTATAATGAGCAAAGGGTCAGTTTGAGGACAGGTAAAGTCAAAATGCACAGAGGGGAAGTCCCTACTATAGATAGCTTTGCTTTAATCAGCTCAATTAGAATGCCAATGCTGAGTCTTATTGTATTGACTGTTCTGCCATCACTCTTGCTGCATCCTGAGAACAGGGTTACTTCTTTGACTACCTATCCTCCCTCAAGCTAATGACACATTACTCAGGATGTATCCCCTTCATTATGAAATATATGAACATGTTAAGGAAATTGAATTGATAATTTTAATACTTCTGAAAATATATCTTGAAGACCAGATATTTTCACAGGAGCCCTTTCTTTCTTTTTCTTTCTCTTTTCTTTTCTTTTTTTCTTTTCTTTTCTTTTCTTTTCTTTCTTTCTTTCTTTTTCTTTTCTTTTCTTTCTTTCTTTCTTTCTTTCTTTCTTTCTTTCTTTCTTTCTTTCTTTTTCTTTTTCTTTTTCTTTTCTTTCTTTCTTTTCTTTCTTTCTTTCTTTTTTTGACAGAGTCTTGCTCTGTCGCCCAGGCTGGAGTGCAGTGGCATGATCTCGGCTCACTGCAACCTCTGCTTCTTGGGTTCAAGCGATTCTTCTGCTTCAGCTTCCGGCGTAGCTGAGACTACAGGCACACACCCACCATGCCCAGCTAATTTTTGTATTTTTAGTAGAGATGGGGTTTCACCATGTTGGCCAGGCTGGTCTCAATCTCTTGACCGCATGATCCAACCACCTCGGTCTCCCAAAGTGTTGGGATTACAGGCGTGAGCCACCGCACCCAGCCTTTCACAGGAATATTTTACCAAAAAATTAAAGAGGAATTAAAACCAATTTTAGCTCACACACACCACACAAAAAACAGCCATGAAAGAGATTTGAGAAAATTGTAAAATATACCCAATTTAGATGATATGAGGAAATTTTTGTTAATTTTATTAACTGTGATAACAATATTGATCTTGTAGAAAAACGTCCTCAATCATCAGATCACCCAGGATGGACTCCATTTGCAACTGCAGGTGCATGCATGACTGAGTGAGCAGTGGACGTGACTATGCACCTTCCATGCATCTCTGATTATAGGGGAAATTGTTTGTCCTTCACTTCCTATCTTCACTCTTCCAGCAGGCAGGGACATGGACAAATCAGTGACCCAGCACAGACCCAGCAGATGAGGCTAATGTCTTAGGGCATGCAGGAGGAATCCAAGCCTTTGAAAAGTCTTCTGGAGCAGAGACCCCTCCTGGTATTGTATGAGAGGGAAACAGGACATATTTTGGTCAAAGAGAGGGGAATATCGGCCAACTTCAGATCCTTGGGACAATGTCTAGCAGAAGGGAATATTTCTCTAATTAGCACAAATTTGCCGTACAGGCTGATAGTGGCCCTGTCTTCAGGGCCTCAAATTTACCTTGATTCGTTTAGACTAATCACCTTGTCTAATGACAAGACATCTTCAACAACATCCCAACATCTCTCATTGTTCCTCAAGTTCTGAGTTTCTCTTCTGTAAAACTCCAAACTACTGGATGTTTGAAGCAGGAAGGGAGAGTATAGATGAACGGAAATTTGCACGTAGTAAATGTGCAGAGGGATGTTGCGGTTATTATTGGTCAAATATCAGCATCAGGACACAGAAGAGGCTCATGCTGTGACCAGTCACGGTCCCCAGGGGGCCTGGTCCAGTCTTAAATGCCTTTTCTGATTTTCCCACAGCAGATGCCAGAGTCTGCTGGGATGAGGTCGCAGATGGGATGGAAAAGTTTAGGACAGAACAAAAATGAGTCAGAGAAAGAACAGCAGGAGGGCTGATCTGACAAGGAATGGAGAACATAAGTAAACATCTGAGACAGAAGGCAAAACACAGGACTCCATGAGCAGATGATCTCCCTGCATCTCTCTTCCTCCTTTAATATATATTTGTGTCAAAAGATCTACCAAGTTGTGCATCAAAATCTTAGTAATGGTGACTCTTGGAGTGTGGGATTTGGGGTAGACAGCTGACTTTAAAAATCTACTCTATGTTTATAGATTTCTAGGTTATTTTATAACAAGCATGACTATTACTATTAACATTAAGGAAAGAGACAAAATTTTAAAATCGGGAGTAACCTCACCAAGGGTGGCCTCTGAGCTCTGCTCCTGGTGGGCTGAGACCTCTAGGGCAAGGCTTTTGCTGACCACCAGCTGCCCATCATGCGCCATCTGGTAGGTGAGCACATCATCCCTGTGGGCAGATATGTTCACCAGGAGCCAGCTTGTCCAGTCGTAGGTGCCTTCCATGTTCTCAATGAGGATGGAGGCTGTTTCTATCTGGGACACATTTCTGTTCTCCAACCAGGTCAGCTGTAGGTTCTAGGGGTAGAAATTCTTCACCTGGCAGGTGACGTTCACCTGGTTCCCTGCCTTTATGGGCTGTTGAGTAACCTCCAAGAAGGGTGGAACTGAAACAGCACAGGGCAGAAGCTCTGACCTTGTGGCACAGACAGATCACAGGGAGGGCTCCATAAAGTAGCTCCCACCACCACGGTGAGGGCATCACCAGGACAGAGCTAGGCATGCATCAGGTGCTCAGACATTGAGGGTGCTCTTTGCATATGAATGAAATTACTAAGCACAACGCCCAGCACACAGTAGGTGCTCAAGGACTGGTAGCTCCTACTAGGCTAAGAATGAGTGAAATCTGCAAGCACAACCCCTGGCATGCAGTTGAAATGTCATAACTGCAGCAAAATCAATGAAATCACCAGGCACACAGGGCCTTGGCTCATAGTAGGTGCTCATTAATCGTAGTTGCTCTTGGTGAAATAAATGAAACTATCTAGCATAGAGCTTGCTAGCTATCTAGCAAGCTAGCAAGCTATCTATCTATCTAGCACAGATGTCTACCACCTGGTGGGTGGACATCTAGCTGCTACCATGGAAATGATAGTAAGTGACCAGTACATCTAGGTGCATGGAAGGTGGGCAGCACAGTTAGGAATTAGATTCCAGGAAATCCAAGCCCTGGAGTAAAAGCCAGAGAGGAGGAGCAGGCTTGGCAACCAGATATGGGATTGGGCTAGGAGTGAGGATTCTCTACCTTGAATGGTTTCAGACAAGTTTTCAGTCCCACAAAGAGGGTCCCCCTGTAAAGTGATGTGGGCCACCTCGCAGATGACCTGAAGGCAAAGGTCTCCAGAGGCCAGCACCATCCTGGCTGTGCTGCAGGTGCTATAGGGCATACTTTCTCCTGCAGGGTCCACGTTGATCTGGAAGCCTGAGAGCTCATTCCTATTTTTGGACCATTTCAGGGTGGTGTTTCAGGGGGAGAAGCCGTGGGACTCACAGGTGAAGCTCACTGTATGCTCAGCTGTGGTCCTCACTGCAGTGCATGATACCACAGGGGCAGAGGATTTGGCTACAAAAGGAGCATCGATAAACAGGAGACATGACTGAGATGACCATCACTAATGATGAGTGTGTGACATGTTAAGAACCTTCATGGACATTAGTTTTTAATCCTTCTAATAATGTGGAGAGGGTGGTGTCCTCATTTTACCGACCAGGCTGGAAAGGCTCTGAGAGGTGAGGAAGTCCAGACCTGAGTTCAAAGTTCTCCTCTCTAAACAGGGTGACTTCCACCAATCTGGGCACAGGAACAAAGTTACTGATTGGTCTCCCTCTGTGTATGGACTGGTCCTAGCCTGCCTCCCCTGGAGAGTTCACCAATCTCAGAGAGTGCCGAGACCAGCTCGGTCAGGGAGACCCTAACCCAGCGGCGCTAGAGGAATTAAAGATACATAGAAAGTATAGAGGTGTGGAGTGGGAAATCAGGGGTCTCACAGCCTTCAGAGCTGAGAGCCTTGAACAGAGATTTACCCACATATGTATTGACAGCAAGCCAGTGATAAGCATTTTTTCTATAGATTATAGATTAACTAAAAGTATTCCTTATGGGAAATAAAGGGATGGGCCGAAGTAAAGGGATGGGTCTGGCTAGTTATCTGCAGCAGGAGCATGTCCTTAAGGCACAGATCGCTCATGTTGTTGTTTGTGGTTTAAGAACGCCTTTAAGTGGTTTTCCACCCTGGGTGGGCCAGGTGTTCCTTGCCCTCATTCCAGTAAACCCACAACCGTCTGGAGTGGGCATCATGGCCATCACGAACATGTAACAGTCTGCAGAGATTTTGTTTATGGCCAGTTTTGGGGCCAGTTTATGGCCAGATTTTAGGGGGCCTATTCCCAACAAGAGAGGGCATTTACAGAAGCCAATACAGGGAACAATGGTGAAGTGGTGCCATTGTGAGAGCTGGAACCAGGCCGCTCAGCCCAGGAGACGGGTGGCCTGACACATCCAGCTCCTCTTCTGTAAAATAGGACAGCATTTCTGCTTCCCGGGATGCAGTGAGGATTAAATGGGGCCCTGTTTGCTTTGGATCAAACACAGAGGATGCTTCATATAAGTGAACACAGTTCTATCTTTAACCCAAATTTCGTGAATACACCGAGATCTCTCTGAGGTATTTATGAATTTGTTCCATATAGTTCATTCTTTTCACAAATATTCCAGCAGGATCTGTGAAAGAAAATGAAGTAATTAAGGCTAAAGCTTTAACGAAGAGCCGAGAGTTTGTAAGAACATTGCACCCACACCTGCTAAAGGTCAAGCCACAGGATGTTGCTGTAGATCTGAGTAACAACTGAAGTCAAGGTACGTGGGATTTTGATCTCTCTCATCCTGGAGTACTTTAAGTAACCAATGAAAACAGGTTTGCAGTTTAGAATTTTTGCCCAGCCATTGAATTGTCTCCAAAACCAACTTTTTTGAAAATCCCCTATACAAAACCTTTCCCGCACTGCTGTATGAGACTCTATTCAGCACTTCTCTGACTCTGTATACCCAAAGTACAATTCTTTATTTCCCAAATAAATGCTATTTCTTTTGGCTTTTCGGCCAATCATTTGTTGTTGTTGTTGTTGTTGTTAGCAGGCCTAATTTGTGCCAAGTGCTGCCTTTCCAAAGAGGGAACGTTTTTGGAATCTGGGTCTTCAGTTGGGTCAGGTTTGGGTTGACAAACAAGATCACTGAGTACTGAGAAAGCCAAAGGTGGTTAATGTTTTCATCATTAGTTAACTACAAGAAACACAGACCCAGGCCATCTAAGCAGGCAGGCACTCATCCTGCGTCCTGAAAGCACACAGATTAGAGAATCAGAAAAATGAAGGCAGTTTCTTTCCATAGAGAGGTCCTAAAGGGCACCTCCAAATTGTGAATTACTACCCTACATCTTCTACAACAATCACCAGGAAGCATATATCACACATATTTGCCTTTGTACATATTAACCTGCTCCCTAACATGTGTCAGACATTTTGAGGGCACAGTAAAGAGGGTGTCACTTGAAGAAGAGAAGTTATCAAGATACCACCAGCATGGCGACCCTAACGGGATGAGAGGATGTAATCAATTTCCATTTATGGGAGCCTGATGCTGCCTGCTCCCTCTATACCTCTCTTTAATCTTTTTAACCCCCCTCCATCCCTGTGAGGGGGTCCTAATGTGAGCCCCTTTATAGGATGAGGCTCAGAGAGGAGGCCCGGCTGGCCAAGGACCAAAAGTGGACACAAACCCCACCCTGGTAAGATAAGAGAAGACAAGTGAAAAGCACAGAGCCTGGCATGTCGTAGGTGCTTAACAAATGACCCCTGTGACTGTTTTCAGGAGGTTTGGTCATTACTGCTTCTAAATCTACACATTTATCCTTTAGGCAGCAGAACAAAGAGGAGCAGAAACACCGAGAAAAGGCTCAAACCCTGCTCCCTGCGGCTCATGACAAACCCAAATGACAAAAGGAGCAGAAACCACCAAGTGAGGATTCTCTCCCCTTTTCTGAACAATCCCCTCAGGAAACAAGTTTGGCAAATTGGCTTTCAAAACACAAACAAGATCACAGATGCTTCCCTCCAGAGGAGCTATTTACAGAAGCTGGAAGCATTTTGGAAGGAATAGGAAACAGATTCCTCCATGACATCTTCGTGTGTGGAGGCAGGGAGGCTCCTGGGGCTGAGGAGTGAGGATTTGCTGGGATTTCAGTGCTGTTTAAACACAAACTTGTTAAAGTTGTTCCCAACACTGAGGCTGGGATCTGAGCAGGACTTAGACCAGGCTTCTCCTCCTTGTCCCCTAAGGCCTGCTCCATGGGAAGGGTCCTGGCCAGGCCACTGGGGCCTTCTGAGATGTCTCTGGCCCATGTTATTCTGAAGCATCCACATCCAGAAAAGCTGCTGTCAATGCTCAACACAATGGAGGACCACTTTTGCTAGGGGGCTGTGTATTAGAATCTTCTGGAGTCACTGAGAACTTTGCATGCCCAGGCTCATGTCAGACCAATTAAACTGGCATTTTTTTTTAGGAGGGAGCCTTGGGCTGGATTTAAATTTTTTTTTTTCAAATTTCCCAGATGATTCTAATGAGCAGCCAAGATCGAAAGCCACCAGACCCCACCCCAAACCCCATGTATCCTTGAGGCCTGGAGAAGCACTGACCCATCTGAGGTCTCATAGCTTCGACATCACACAGTTCATATTTATGGAACATTTACTGCACTCCAGGTGCTGCTCTGAGCATTTAAAAGGATTTAACTCCTTCAGTTTCTGTCCCCAGTCTGTGAGGTCAGTGTTATCATCAACAGGTGCGGACACTGAGACTCACTGTGGTAGAGCACCTTGTCCCAGGTCACAGAGCCAGGAAGTACCAGAGCCCGGAAGTGGCCCAGGCAGTTGGGCTCCTGCCTGCCCTGCACTAACCACTGTTCTGCGGAAGCTCAGTAATAACCTGAACAACACCACCATTCAGGACTCTGTGCACATCCTCTCCCATCCTCACAGAACCCAGAGTGGGTTTGGTGCATGATTATCAGCATTGCACAGATAGGGAAACTGGGGACTCAAGGGAAGGCAAGACTGGCCCAAGATCACAAGAAATAACAGCTTGATTTAGGGGTGCCTACAATGTGCTAGGTGATTTACAGAGAGAACCTCAAATCCTATCCCCTCTCCTAAAGGAGTCGTGATGATCACCATTTTACAGATGAGGAAACTGAGGCTGAGAGAAATGAAGGCACTGCCTCCTTGTCCTCCATGTGTCCCAGTGGGCACTTCCTGTGTCCTACCAAGCACTCATGTCCATTAACAGAGCAAGTGCCCTGAATTCTTGAGCCCCAACACTGACTGCACACCCAATTGTCCCTTTGAGATTCTTGACTTTATGCAATTCTAGAGAGAAGCCTCCCTCCTGGGTGCCCGGGCCCAGATACCCTGTAGCCATAAAACACTATGGGCTCCTGACAGCCCAAGGGGAGAATGGAAACTCTTGCTTACAGTGGCCCCACTCACCCACTACGAAATACCTCATCTCCTCATCCTTAGTCCTCAGCACCAAGAAGGGGTGGGCACGTGCTCTGCTGGGCTGCAGGAGGCCCGACTTTGCTCCACAGATGCTGCTGAGTGAAGGAGAAACAGCACAACATGGGGGAAGAGTCCTAAATGCTTCATGTGTGCTGAGACCTGTCCTTTAGGAACAGGCTTGACATATAATGAGCCATCTGCAGAACCTTTCTAAAGAGAGTGTAAAGCCAGCCCCTCCTACCCCTACAGGACTTTTTTTGTTTGTTTGGTGTTGAATGCTTTTTGCTGTAAAACAGAGCAATGCAAGAGTTTAGAATGAGGTTAGAGCATTTCTTCACACTTTAAAAAGCATAGCTGAGGGTTGCAGAGACAGGGGCTGTGAGTCAGGCTGGGTTGGGATCAGACCTTGGCTCCCTGACCTGCTCACCACTCAGGTCTCCTCTCTGAGCTTTAGTGCCTCATCTTTAACCCATACCCTGTTTGCTCCAAGAATACTCTTGTCTCTAATTCTAATGTAACATCAAGTACATTTCTGTTACATTAGGATTAGAGACAAGTTCTGTTTAGAAATAACTCCAAGAACAGTTTTTATATTTTATTTTCACAATGAAAATCAGTCAGATTTGCTTCAACCTCAAAGAGCATGTTTGTGTAAAATTAAATGAGCTCTGGCAGTGAGCTGCACTGTTTTTTTTCTTTCTAAGTGGGTTAAAAGAGGCAACAAGTGGCTCCTCCTTCCTAGAACTGGTTATGAGGAGACTCTGGCACAGCTGCTGCTCCCTGCTTCCCTCCCTGCCTCCCTCCTTTCTCATCCAGGGATCAATTAGGCTGATAATATGGCAAAGAGGAGTGAGCACTTCACTAGGAAGTAGCAGATTGGGGTCACACCTGAGCCACTTACTCGATGTGATTGCCTAGGGTGGGAATGCATCAACTGGGAACTTGCGTCTTTATCTGTAATAACTGCAAAATCAGGATAAAGCCCCCTTCTCCATCTATGTTTAAGGGTTGTTAGGAGTCTCGATTGCTAATGATCTAGGAAGGAAATTAGGCAGTGTTCTTACATATGAAAACACACACACCCTCTGACCTAGCAATGCCACCTCCAGTGGGCATTTGTCACCTGAGTAGGATAACACATGTACAAGGTCACCCACTGCAGGGTTCTTTTAATAGTTCAACATTGGGAGCAACTTACATATTTATCAACAGAATACTGTAAAACAAATTTGATATTTTCATAAATTGGACTATTCTGCAGCTGTCAAAGAGTGGAACAGCTCTCTATGTCCTGACGTGGAATCTCAATAAGGAATGATAGGGTTTATGTTTGGAAGAGTTTTTCCAATCACCAATGGGCTTTAGTGTCTGAATGTGAGGTGCATTCTGAGCCTTTGGGAAACCGATGAAAAGGAGAATTGCTGGCTCTTCGGTCAGTGGTTTTGTTTAAGGAGCTTTTATTTAGCTCCTCGAACATAGTCCGTGTTGTTTCTCTTTGTCTAGTCTGAAATAGTTGTTACCTGGGGAAAGTAGCCTTCTCTTGGACTGTAGATTAATTCGTGGCCTGGTCCAGCTCCTCTGAACCACTGGACAGGCCCCACAGGGAACAGGGAGGTCGCAGTGCAGTGCAGAGTGGACATCTCTCCAGCTGCGACTGACATGAACTTCTCAGGCTGAATCACCTGCAACTCCTCCTCAGCTTTCACTTTCATGACAAAGCAGTCATTTATTCATCCTTACATGATCCTGTGTGTTTCCTCATGTGTATCAAAGACTTTCATTGATCGAGTGCATATCAGGAGCAGAGCTTGAGCTCAGCACATTGCATATATTATCTCATTTAACCTTCACAACAAGCCTGTAGCTTGTTGTGACATGAGACTGTATTAGAAGTGAGGACAATGAGGCGCAGAGAGGTTCAATTTTAAGATAGAGCTTAAACATGAGACTGTATTAGAACATGAGACTGTATTAGAAGTGAGGACAATGAGGCACAGAGAGGTTCAATTTTAAGATAGAGCTTTGGGTTGAGGACCTGAATGGAGCTCCTGAGCCCTCTTTGGAAGTGTCATACTTTGCTAAATATTTTTGCCTTCACTTTCTGGCCATATGGAGTATTGCAATTTCTGGACCATTTCATTGACTGAGGTCATGTAACTGCTTTAGACCATTGAGTCATGAGTAGAAATGATGAGCATAATACGTGGACTGTGCATTCAAATGCAAGAACCTCTATGGATCACCTTCTCCCTTCCGCAGAGACCCACAAGGCTCTGATGGAGTCTGCTCCATCAGCCTGGATTCCTGAGTGACAGTGACATGCAGAATCCCCAACACACCATGAAGATGCAGCTTAAAAAGAAATAACATTGTTTTAAGCCCCTGGGAATTTTTCACCCATAGCATAAGTTTCCTAATGCTGATACGACTAATTACCAAAACTTGGTGTGTTACAACAAAAGAAATGTATCATATTGTAGTTCTGGAATTCAGAAGCCCAAAATTGTGTGACTGCGTTACAATCAAGAAGAAAAGTCAAGTATGTAAAGGTGAAGAATAAAATGGTACTGACCAGGGTGAAGTGCAGGGAGGTAATGGTGAGATACAGGTCAAAAAATACAAAATTGAAGATAGGTCAGATGAGGAAGTCCAGAGATCGAACATGCCATATATCGACAACTAGAGTTAACAATATTGTATTGAATTTAGTATTTTTGCTTAAAGAGTATATTTCATGGGCTCTTGACACACACCCACATGCAGAGTAACTGTGAGATGATGGATATGTTCATTTGCTTGACTATAATAATCATTACACTATGTATATGTATAGGAAAGCATCATGTGGTACACCTTACATATATACAATTTTTTTAAAAAACAGCTATGTTTTCTGGAGTCTCTGTTCTTTGCCTTTACTAATTCTGGAAGCTGGTAACATTTCTTTTCTCATAGTTACGTCTTCCCATCACTCCAGCCTCTGGCTTGCATCCTCACATGTGCTTCTCTAACTCCTAATTTCCTGCCTCCTCCTTCTTATAAGGACTCATGTGATACACTGTGGGCCCACCCTGATGCTAGACCAAGATGTTAAAACCACTGTCTTCAACACGTTCAAAGAGCTAAAGGAAACAATAGACAAACAACTAAAATAATTCAGGATTATGATACAGTAACAAAATAAGAACTGTAACAAAGAGAAATTATAAAAAGAAATCAAACGAGAACTTTAGAGTTGAAAGTATTACAACTAAAAGTTCATTAAAGAGGTTCTCTAACAAGTGAGCAGGTGGGAAAAAAATCAAGAAACTGGAAGATGAAATCATTGAAATTATTGACAGTGAGGTATAGATACAACAAAAATGAAAGATAATAGAATCTAAGGGAATGATGATACATTATCAAATCGATAAAAATACACATTACTAGAGTTCTGGGGGAAAAGAGAAAAAGAGAAAGGGGCAGAAGATTATTGGAAGAAATCATGAACAAAATCTTCCCAAACTTGATAAAATACATGAATCTACAAGCTTAAGGTGCCAAGGAAACCCAAATTTAACTCAGCGATAAAGTCAAAGAGACCCACATTAAGACACATTATAATCCAACTGTCGACAATTAAAGTCAAGGAAAGAATTCTGAAAGCAGCAAAAGAGAAGCGATTCCTCTCACGCGAGAGATCCTTGTAAGATTATCAGCTGAGTTCTTATCAGAAGCATTGGAGGCCACAAGACAGAGGAATGATATGTTTAAAATGCTGAAAGAGGAAAAACCTATCAACCAAGAACTCTACACCTGGCAAACATCCTTCAAACACAAGGGAGAAATTAAGATATTCTCAGATAAATCCTCAGCCATGGATCCTTGCGTGAATAGCACGATGTCTCCAGGCCCAAACTTCCCTGATCTGTAGAAGGGGTGGCATCAGGTCATGAAAATGAGCACCCACCACCACACCCAACTGGTGTGGTGAGAGTTTATGACCACTAAACCTTACCTACAAAAACGCTAAAAGGAGTGCTTTGGGTGGAAATGAAAGGATGCTACATGGCACTCAAAATTGTATGAGGAAATAAAGATGTCCAGTTAGGTGTACATTTAAAAAATTCATATTTTCCTGATGCCTCAACATCCCTGAAACAAGCTGTGAGCACCCTACCAAATGACCAGGTACAGCAGTGTGATAAAGCTGGTCCCTGCCACAATTCCCCTTTTTGTCCTCCTCTGCTGTGACCTAGTAGAGTAGTGGCATTAAAACATACCAGTGAATCCATCATGGTTTTTGTGTCCTCCACCCTAACTCCCAGTAAGACACTTGCCTGGGGTTCCAATCTGTCTTGCTTCCCCATCTGCTTGGTTGAGCCTGCTTCACGGAAGCTCCTTCCATATGGCTTCCTACCTGGCATGCCATACCCCACTCTCTGGGAACTATGAGTAGAATAAATTGTTCATCTTCATATGTCTCTCCAAATGAAATTTTCACAGTCATGTTAGAGTGTTCTTTATAGACCCAATCAGCAGGACTTACTCTACCATTTTCAACACTAATGGCAATGAGAATGGGATCATTCTAAACTAGGGTGGAAAGTTCCTAGGAGATTCCCTTTGAATGCTCATGGCTTGCTAATTTGCTACTCTGATTGGCTCAACCATTTGGGAGATGCTATTACCCTGATGGCTTTCTTGTACTCTGCTTTCTTCAGCTTTGTGTTGCCTTTTGGGAGTGTTACCAAGACTCTCCATCCTAAAGTGGGGATCATGTCTCAATATCAATAATGGCATCCACCTTTCTTCAGGAGCACAGAGATGACATTACATTGATAACAACATCTTTAAAACAGATTCATTTGACACACGTATTAATGTCATATAATCCAACACCTTTAAGTTTCTGTTAAATGCTAGTGGCAACATATTCTTTTACACATCATCGAAAACAATACTCTTGTTAGTGCCTTCAAACAAACGGACAAACAAACAAAAATACCTCTTCTCTATAAAAATTTTGCCAACTTCTTTCATGCCTGTTGGAGTCTCTTCACCACTCATGTTGGCCATGAATTTCCCCAGGGCTTTTGATGCAGAAACAATGCCCCTCTTGGCCTCATCCTATATTCCATTAAAACAACAAATGACTGGTTACCTACTGGGATCCCCTGGTCTGGAGTACAGTTCTACAAGGCATACTTTCCTGTTGCAATCATTAACCATAAATTGTCCCACATCCAGGCTTTGCTCACCTGATATGAAGCGCATTGGAAACTAAGCTTCCACTAGAACACAAAATTAAAATCACTGCCAGGTCCAGCTGCACACCATTCTGTTGACAGTTGGCATTATTACTGCTAGGTTTGTTAATGCAAAAATACTCAACCAAATACTAGCAAACTGAATTGAATAGCATAGTAGAAGGATAATACACCATGAGCAGATAATAGTTATTCCTGAAATCCAAGGATGTTTCAGTAAACAAATGACAACAATGTAATGTACCATATTTATGGAATAAAGGGAAAAACACATGATTATCCATTTGATGCAGAAAAGCCTTTGACAAATGTGGCTATCTTTCTATGACAAAAATAATCAATAAAAGGAATATATGAAAACATTCAAAATTATAAGTCATATACTCATACTTTCTTGTTTTTTTGGCACTATCTAATTTACTATTCACTGTCTAATTTACTATTTTATTTACCTCCTTATCATGGGTATTGGTTACTGTCATTCTCCAGTGGATATAAGGAACAAAAGGGAAACTACTTTTTCTATTTTATTCACCAGTGCACCCAACATTTCTATGTCAGGTCCTGGAACATAGTAGATATCCAATAAATATGTGTATAATGTGTGAATTGCTCAGTGGGATACTTTCTTAAGAGACTGAAATCTTTTATTTTAAATGGATTGTTTCTGTTGAATTTGGAGAAAATAAATTTCCCATGTAGATGAGTTGGTGAAGAAAAAATCAATTTGCAATCATACAGAAAGCAGAAGAGCCCAGGAGAAGAAAACTACACATCCTCTTCCTCATACCACACCCCTGCACACACTCATACTAGCAGCAGCTGCAGAAATCTCATGGAATAGAATCAGGGCCAGAAGTATTTGGGAAGAGTAATGGTGAAAACTGTGATCTCTAGATTAAGAGTGCCTGAGCTCAAATCATAGCTCTGCCAATTACCAATGAATGACCTTGGAATGCTTTGTGCTTCTGTTTCCTTATCTATGTGTGTGTGTGGTGGGGGGCAGGGGGTGATAAGAATCTCTACCTTGGATATAATGATCATCCAAAGTAAGAGCTGTAAGATGTTTCCAACAGTGTCTGCCACATGGAGGGTGTTCAAAAATTATAAAGTTGGCCAGGCACAGTGGCTCAAGCCTGTAATCCCAGTACTTTGGAAGGCTGAGGTGGGCAGATACCTGAGGTCAGGAGTTTCAGACCAGCCTGGCCAACATGGCAAAACCCTGTCTCTACTAAAAATAAAAATAAAAAAATAGCTGAGGGTGGTGGCACACCCCTGTGGTCCCAGCTATTCAGGAGGCAGAAACATGGCAATCACTTGAACCCAGGAAGCAGAGGTTGCAGTGAGCTGAGATCGCAACACTGCACTCCAGCCTGGGTGACAGAGTGAGACCTTGACTCAAAAAAATGAATAAATAAATAAAATAAAGTTTTTACTCAGTAGATTTCCTGAAGCTTGGAGGCTTCAATGGACATTAGATGATGAGGATATAGGTATGACTATGGATATGGATATAACTAATATAACTATAGATATAGTTACTATATAGATATAGATGCTATAGGCCGAAGTTTCTGCAACTTTATCCACTTCTTTCTTCCTCACACCTACCCTTCATGAAAGTGGGAACACTAATAGAGTAATGCATGGAAGTTCTATTTTGAGGGACTATGCATTTTACCAAGAGGTTTGCTTATCTATTGCTTATCTTAACAGATTGGGGGACTTTGAGGGGTAAGATCAGAGAAGTAAAAAAGAAGAGAGAGTGTGGGCAACAGGGAAAACCAAATATCTCTTTAATGTGCATTTCATATAGACTAAGAAATGGTTAGAAGGAAATAATAAGAAAAGTCTTTTAAAAATCCTGTGTGTGTTTCGCATAGTCAAGTGAGATTTATCCCAGGAATGTAAGGATGGGTCGATATTCAGCAATCTCTCCATGTGACACACTACATAAACAGAATGAGTGACAAAAACCCTATGACCATCTCAACACAGGCCCCAAAAATGCATATGAAAAAATTCAACATTTTTAAGTGATAAAAACTGTCAATGAATTACATATAGGATGATTGTTCCTCAACATAATAAATGCCATATGGGACAACTCCATAAAAATGAACTCACATATTTACACTTAATTGATCTTTGATAAAAGTTTCAAGGACACACAATAGGGAAAAGTCAATCTCTTCAAAAATGTTATTGAGTAAACTGGATATCCATGTATAGAGAAATAAAATTGGAACTTCATCTCATACCACATACAAAAATCAACTCAAAATGGATTAAAGACTTAAATGTAAGATCTGAAACTGTAAAGTACTAGAAGAAAAGTTCTGTAACATTGGTCTAGGCAATCAGTTTCTAGATATCAGCCCAAAAGCACACACAACAGAAGCAAAAATAGACAAATTGAATTACAACAAACTAAAAAGCTTCTACATGTGCATTTCTCGTGGATATAGAAATGAATGTGGGATTACATACATAGCCAAGAAAACAATCAACAGAGTGAAGAGACAACATACAGAATGGGAAAATATATTTGCAAATTATACATTTGATAAGGAGTCAATACACAAAACATATAAAGAACTCAAGCAACTCAATTATAAGGCAACAACTCACTCAATTAATATATGGGCCAAAGACCTGAATAGACATTTCTCAAAAGAAGACATTAAAATGGCCAGCAGGCATATAAAAAATACCCAATCTTACTATTCATCAGAGAAATGCAAATTAAATCCATAGTGAGGTATCATCTCACACCTGTTAGAATGGTTATTATCAAAATGAGGAAATTTAAGTAGCATTGGAGAGTATGTGGAGAAAAGAGAATCCAACCCACTGTTGGTGAGAATGTAAATTAGTACAGCCATTATTGAAAACAGTATGGAGTTTCCTCCAAAAATTAAAAATAGAACTATCATTAGATCCAGCAATCTCACTTCTGGGTGTATATCCAAAGGAAGTAACATCAGCATGTCACAGCGATATCTGCACCCATATCCATTGCAGCATTATTTACAGTAGCAAAAATGGAATCAACCTAAGTGTCTATCAACAGATGAATGGAGAAAGAAAATGTGGTATATATACACAATGAAATTCTAATCAGCCTTACAAAAGAAGGAAATTCTGTCATTTCCAACCTGGAGGATACTATGCTAAGTGAAATAAGCCAGGCACAGAAAGACAAATACCACATGGTCTCACTCATACACTGAATCTAAAAAAGTTGAACTCACACAAGTAGAGAGTAGAGCCTATAATCACAGCACTTTGAGAGGCTGAGGCAGGTGGATCACCTGAGGTCAGGAGTTTGAGACCAGCCTGGCCAACATGGTGAAACCCCGTCACTACTAAAAATACAAAAAATTAGCCGGGCATGGTGGCGGACATCTGTAATCCCAGCTACTCGGGAGGCTGAAGCAGGAGAATCACTTGAACCCAGGTGGTGGAGGCTGCAGTGAGCCGAGATCTCACCATTGCACTCCAGCCTGGACAACAAGGGTGAAACACCGTCTCAAAAAAAAAAAAGAAGTAGAGACTAGAGTGGTGGTTACCAGGGGCAGGGGAGGGGGTGTAGTTGGGAGATACTGGTCAAAGGATACAACATTTTAGTTTAGATAAGAGAAATAAGTTTAAGAGATGTATTGTACGATATGATTTCTAGAGTGAATAACATGAATTGTATTGTTGAAAATTGCTAAGAGAGCAGAGTTTATAAGTTCTCACCACAAAAAGTGATATACATGTAAGGTAATGCATAGGTTAATTAGCTCAAATTAATCATGTACACATATTTTATAATATGTTGTACATGATAAGTATATATGCTTTTCTCAAACAAAAATAAAATACATTTCTTTTCTGAGACATTTCATTGCAAATAAAAAGATAACAATAAATGTGAAATCTTATGTACATGTATGTACACTTATAGTCACTTATACACACATATATATATGTATACATATATACACATGCATTCACAAATATATATAAAAGTTTGTTCTGTCCTTATACTATATAAAGATGTTTTGTGCATTAAATAAAATTATGAAACCTGTTAAAATCTCAGTAAAATATTTGGCACATAAAAGTCATCCAACACATTTGTAACAAATGTTGGGAGTATATACACCAGCGTTTTAACTCTGAGTGTCACTTCTCTGACTGGTGTGATGGGTGATGATTATTCCTATGTTTACTTCCCTGCATGTGCTAATATTTCTACAAGTAGCATAACATGGCTAAAAGAATGAACTCTGGAGTTGGTCCACCTGGACTTGAATCCCAGCTGCTCCACTGACTGAGGTAGGGGACAATGGACAAGCTCCTCCCTCTGCCTGACTCCTTGTTTTCAAATAGGAGTTAATAGGTGTAGCTTTCAAATAGGGATGTTGTGAGGATTAGTAGAGTTAAGTAGAGTTAAAATACACAAATTACTAAGAACTGTGTCTACCTTGTAGGAAGAGCTCAATTGCTGAACTCTTACCACTGTCATTTGGGTAAAGTGTATATGTAAGAAAGATAATTTGAAAAGTGAGAACCTTGTCCTCTAGGACCTGTGAGGTGACTCACAGCAGGGGCCAGTGGGGAGCAGGGAGGCTGCTGTGCCCAGCCCTGTGATTCTGGGGTCAGCTCCCTGGCCTGAGTAGGGTGTGAGGACAGGCAGCCTGTCTGTGGGCTGTGAGCAGGGCTCTCCCAGGCTGCACCAGGAAAGGTCTTCCAATCCTGCCTGTCCTGGGGAAGGGAAAATAAATTCTCCATGGTAAAGTCGAAAGAACCAAGGTAGATTGTGGTACTTGTTATGGGCTGAATGTGTCCCCCAAAATGCATGTGTTGAAGCCCCAGTCCCCAGAACCTCAGAATTTGACTGTATTTGGAGACAGGGTCTTTAAGAAGCTATTTAGTTACATGAGGTCATTGGGGGGGTCTTAATCTAATATGACTGGCGATCTCAGAAGAAGAGGAGATGAGGACACAGACACACACTGAGGGAAGAACACGTAATAAGACACAGAGCAGAGACGGCCATCTACGAGCCAGTAAGAAAGACCTCAGTACAGACTAACCCTGCCAACACCTTGATCTTGCATTCAGCCTCCAAAAGTGCAAGGAAGTAAATGTCTGTAATTTTAGCTGCCCAGTCTGTAGTACTTTGTTATGCAAGCCCTAGGAAAGGATTACAGGGCCCAGAAAGCAGCAAATTCCTTCTTAAAGAGGAAGAGGGCACAAAAAAATGGGTGGTAACACTGAGATTACAGAGGAGTGGGAAGCAGGGGGAACAGAGGGCAAAGTATGCAGCATCCTGAAGAAGGACAGTGGCTGAACATCCCCGGGAAACATTGCTCCCCTGCCCAACTCAGGCACTGTTTCAGACTTCACATCCTCAGGGTGCTGAACAGAGGGCTGAGCCTGGAGCCACACACCCTGTCAGGCTGTCTCTCAGCTCACTCTGTGGCCTTGGGCAGATGGTTTTGCCTCCTGGAGCCTCAAGGCTCCAGCCTCAAGGCTCCTGCTCCTCAGTTTGGGGCAGCAGAAGGGTTCCCAAAACCTACTGCTCAATATTTGACAGGAACCAGGTCTGCTTCTGGTAAGGATTTAAATAATGATTCTTCTGTGTTTGTCAAATGAAATATTATTTTTAAAATGTAACTAATTATGGTGCTGGTTGAAGGATCACCTGATTCCATCCCTTGGTAGCCAGCTGCAGATCCACAGAGAAAGTGCTCAGCTCCCTGATCTTCTGCTCTCAGACAATGCCCAGTCCTTGACCTACCTTGGGAGCACTTGTGTTTGTCTGGAATCCCTGAAAGCCCAGGGGCAGGGATTTCAGGGCTGCAAGCAGAGAGAAAGGGTTCTAGCCCAAGGCAGTGCTCACCTGTGCATCCCCGCAGCAGAATCAGCAGCAGGAAAGGACCAGGAGGGTGGGGCCAGGAGGCTGGGATGGGTATCCTGAAGACCTCAGGAGCCTGCTCCGTCCAAATATCTGTGCTGGGGAGATGTCAAACTTCTCTGAGGAGAGAAGACAAGCACTGTCTCCCTTGATTCAAGAGGAAGTGGCAATGATAGAGTACAACAGTGAAATAGAAATCAGGCACAGTAGGCAGTTACAACGCAAACAGTTACTCATGCTCCATTCTCAGGAGAATCAGACAGGCTTAGCAGAAATAGTGCTTCCTGCACACCTTGACCATATGTTCTCTCCACATGGCCCCTAACACCATCTTCAGGTCTTCTTGGTGATTCACCATTTGGGGCTGTTAGTTCAAGAAGGACCTGTGATTAAGAACTGTTTTCTAAACTTCCCATCTCAAGACCCTAGGATGTTGCTGGCTTGTTTTCTTCTTCTGCACCAGGCCTCAACCAAGTGCTACTCAGTTCGGGGCAGGAGGAGGGTTCACAAAAGCTACTGCCAATATTTGAGAGGAACCAGGTGTGCTTCTGAAATTGTTCCCTATTCCAAACTTTTATCAATGTAACTGGCAAAACTTAGCCCAAATTCAGTCTAATCTGGGACCTTAGCAGCACTTTCATGTGTCTGCATCCAGCAGAAGGAATCATCTCCTGACTTCCTCCAGGAGAGGAAATGGGTTTAGGTTAATAAGGATATGCTTTGTGGGCTGAGGTGGGAATTATGGTTATGGGTTATGGAGAGGGGATAGGGTTATGATGGGGGGAGAATATGGTATGCAATTTCCTGGGGCAGTCACATCAATAGTCTTTGTTTTGCACACAGAACACCTATTCCATCCACCACTGCATTTAGATTGGAGGTGAGGAGAGAGGAAGAATAAATACTCCAACCAAGAGGATGTGTTAAGGATTTGAGGAAGTCACTGGGCCCTCCTAGGCTCAGTTTTGTTCTCCAAATTGCAAATAATAGGTTTTTCACTGCTGTGTTTTTGTGGATGTTAAAAGAGATCATGACTGTACCATACCTGAAACCCAGTAGGTCATTATTGATACCATGGTGCCAGGTGAAGAGAAGGAACTCAAAATTTTTTGAATGGATCCCTACTGCAGGCTGAGTTTCCCACCAGTGGCTTTCTCCGAGATTTCCAGGCCCCTGAGACCCAGCTTATATGGTGTACTTGAAATATCCCTGCCACTCTGAGATCAGTTGCTTCCTCTGGATCCTCTGCACCCTGCTTCTTGTCAATGCATAAATGAATTCCTCTCTCACAATATCGAGCTGTGTGACTTTAAACAAGACACCTAAGTTCTCTGAGCCTTAGCTTGATTATATGTAAATAGAGGTTATAACATGTACCTTGTAAAGGTATGGTAGGAATAATATAAACCGTACCGAATGCTCAACTCATAATTAATTATAACTAAAAAATGGTGGCTATATTAATATGTTGTGTACAGCAAGCATTCACTGCTTCCCTGTGACACTTGTGCTTTAGAAAAATTACCCTGTTAGGAGAAATGGTTTCTCCTTCATCATCTATGACTAAGAAAGGCCTGTGTGGAACCCTCCCTGTCACATGCTGGGTTTGAAGTCCTTCATCTCTCAGAAGTAATTGTCAAATGAAATTATAAAAATTATCATATTTCCATCCAAATTTCTTTTTCTATGTGGCAGATGTACAGAGAGTGAAATCTTCACCTCCTGCTCCATACCCACAGAAACGAATATAAAAAATGATAAAATTACCTTAATCAATGTCTACACTTTAAAACAAGAAAGTAGTCTCTATATGCCATGAAGGAATAGTAGAAACTATTATTTTTTGCAGATGTCCTGGACACCAGACATGGTATCCGGCATTTTATGTCAGTTACCTCATTAATTCAACACTCTGACCCTGAGGTAAGTGCTACCATTAACCTTCATGTAAAGGTGAGAAAATCTGAAGCACACAGAGAGTAGCAAGTTTGCTCAAGATCACTCAGCTTTTGGATTGAGACATAGGCTGTCACACTGCACAGCCTTCACTTTTAATGTTTGCACTATGACCACCTCTCATAAGACAGGAGGGACATCCCTCTAGAAGTAAGCAGTGAAGAAGCCACAGACTCAGTTAGGAGCAGCCCCCACAGTGAGGCTGGGGCAGGTGCCATGCTTCACGAGCCCCTGACAACCCAAGATCACATGGGGCATTATTCCTGCAAAGACGGCAGTGCAAGCAGAAATCACTAAAGATTTGGGGAACAGCAGCACCACAAGTGATAGCTAACCAATCCAAGAACAACAATAACTTAAAAACAATAAAACAGTAATAAAAAGAACTTCACACCTGAGAACACGTTAAAAAATAAAATATGAGAAGGTGTTCAAGATTAGAATATTTAATAACCTATAAACATAACAAAAAAAGCAAATCCATAAAACAAAACCAACCATGTATAAAACAAGAATAGGTAGACATGGAGTACAACAGGTATCTCGGCAATGTAACAAAGCAGAGGATTTTAAATATATATATAGGTTTTTAAAAATAACTAGGTTGACATATTAGTTTGTTCTTGCATTGCTATACAGAAATACCTGAGACTGGGTGATCTATAAAGAACAGGGGTTTAATCGGCTCGCTGTTCCACAGGCTCTGCAGAAAGCATGATGCTTGTACCTTCTTGGCTTCAGAGGAAGTCTCAGGAAACTTACAAACATGGCAGAAGGCGAAGGGGAAGTAGGCTCATCTTACATGGTCACAGCAGGAGGGACAGGGAGAGTAGGGAGGTATCACACACTTTTAAACAACCAGATCTCATGAGAACTTGCTTACTATCATGAGAACAGCACCAAGAGGGAAATCCACACCCAAGATCCAATCACCTCCCACCAGGCCCACCTCCAACATTGGAGATTACAATTCTACATGAGATTTGGTGGGGATACAGATCCAAACCATATCAGCTGAGTAAGCTGACTATACATAAATGAGTAGTAAGTAGTGAGCTGGGTCATCACGTAGGGGCCATCTCCTAGGACCCAGCACAAAGAGACACATCCAAACAAAGTAATGTAAACATGTATAAATATAGCAATAACAAAGAAATACCATAACATACTTTGCAAAATTTTGTGCTAGAAATATTAATATCTTAAGAAGTATAATTTAAGGCAAAAAGCACAAATGGTTGAAAGAGGAATATTTCCTTTTATGAAAGTAACAACTACCCGGAAGATATGAGTCACAAAATATTATACCTCCAAAACTATAATTTGGAATATATGACTCAAATATTGATAGAATAGTTTCAATAATTTGGCAGAATCTGTACTTGGAGCAGCAAAGTGACTTCCTGTGAACTCCAGTCCTTCAATAAAGATCTATTAGATGCATAGATGCTATGTGAGTGAAAAAATTTTGTGGAAATCACGTGGAGAATTGAGTTTCAAATTTAAGTTGACTTCGTGCAGTACAGTTACAGCCTGAATGTTTGAGAGAAGCAGGAGCCTGGGAAACCATAAGCTAAAATTCTCCTTCTGCGAAATTTAGCCCTGCACTCATGACACAAGGTGCAGATAATGAGATATGGCTGTGGGAAAAGGGAGGAGTCAGTGGATGTTTGAGAAGAGCACAGTTTAAACTTGTGGGCTTAGGAATCAGAACTTCTAGGTTTGAATTTAGTTCTACCAGTCCTGGCTGTGTGACCTAGGGGTATTTGTTTAACATCTCTGTTTCTTCAGTTCCCTAAAATGGAAATAATAGTCATATCAACTTCATAGGTTTGTTAAGGCCGTAAAATGGATTAATATATGCAAATTACTTAATAACAGCTGACCGTGTTCCAAAAGTTAGATATGATTTTTATTAGGTGGTATTTTGGTAATAGTAATAGTTTTAAAAAACAGACTCTCTGCCCTCAAGGATTTACGATGCAGTGCAACAACCCTGGCCAATGGCTGGGGGATGTGCAGGTACCACCACATGATGAGTGTGGGTCATGTGTCCAGCCTTATAATCACAAAGTCATTACTAGCACCAGGGTCGTGGTGTGGGCTTGGCCTCAGGGGGAATCACTATGACTAGGGCAAGGCACATCCCAGTAAGTGTCTACACAGATGTTTATGGAAAAGGAGCTCCAAGTCTTGTCTCATGCAGGGATGGGAGAGAAGAAAGTGCTCCCAGAGAATGTGACACAGGCAAAAATCTTCACATGAAAGGAACTTTTGCAGAGATTTCACCACTTTGAAAGTACAAAGGGGAAGAGCTGGCAAGATGGTCGAATAGGAGCAGTGCCAGTCTGCAGCTCCCAGTGAGACCAACAGAGAAGGTGGGTGATTTCTGCATTTCCAACTGAGGTACCCAGCTCATCTCACTGGGACGGGTTAGACAGTGGGTGTGGCCCACGGAGGGTAAGCAGAAGCAGGGTGGGGCGTCACCTCACCTGGGAAGTACAAGGTTTTGGGGAACTCCCTACCCTAGCCAAGGGAAGCCGTGATGGACTATGCTGTGAGGGACAGTGCTATCTGGTCCAGATACTATGCTTTTCCCATGGTTTTTGCAACCTGAAGACCAGGAGATTCCCTTGGGTGCCTAGACCACCAGGGCCCTGGGTTTCAAGTACAAAACTGGGCGGCCACTTGGGCAGACACAGAGCTAGCTCCAGGAATTTTTTTTTTTGTACCCCAGTGGCACCTGAAATGACAGTGAGACTGGAAAGGGGGCTGAAGTCAGGGAGCCAAGTGGTTTAGCTCAGTGGATCCCACCCCCATGGAGCCCAGCAAGCAAAGATCCACTGGCTTGAAATTCGTGCTGCCAGCACAGCAGACTAAGGTTGACCTAGGATGCTCAAGCTTGGTTGGCGGAGGGGCATCTGCCATTACTGAGGCTTGAGTAGGTGGCCACCAGGAAGTTCGAACTGGGCAGAACCCACCACAGTGCAGCAAAGCCACTGTACCCAGACTGCCTCTCTAGATTCCTCCTCTCTTGGCAGGGCATCTCTGAAAGAAAGGCAGCAGCCTCAGTCAGGGGCTTATAGATAAAACTCACATCTCCCTGGGAAAGAGCACCTGAAGGAAGTTGTGGCTGTGGTTGCAGCTTCAGGAGACTCAAAGTTTTCTGCCTGCCAGCTCTGAAGAGACCAGCGGATCTCCCAGCACAGCACTGCTCTGATAAGGGGCTGACTGCCTCCTGAAGTGGGTCCCTGACCCCCATGCCTCCTGACTGGGAGATACCTCAGAAATAACACCACACATGTACACCATCTGATCTTTGACAAACCTAACAAAAACAAGCAATGGGGAAAGGATTCCCTATTTAATAAATGGTGTTGTGAAAACTGGTTAGCTATATACAAAAAACTGAACCTGGACCCCTTCCTTACACCTTATACAAAAATTAACTCAGGATGGATTAAAGACTTAAATGTAAGATCTAAAACCATAAAAACCCTAGAAGAAAACCTAGGCAATACCATTCAGGACATAGTCATGGGCAAAGACGTCATAACTAAAACACCAAAGCAATTGCAACAAAAGCCAAAATTGACAAATGGAATCTAATTAAACTAAAGAACTTCTGCACAGCAAAAGAAACTATCATCAGAGTGAACAGGTAACCTACAGAATTGGAGAAAATTTTTGCAATCTATCCATGTGACAAAGGGCTGATATCCAGAATCTATAAGGAACTTAAACAAATTTACAAGAAACAAACAAACAACCCCACCAAAAGTGGGAAAGGATATGAACAGACGCTTCTCAAAAGAAGACATTTATGCAGCCAACAAACATATGAAAAAAAGCTCATCATCACTGGTCATTAGAGAAATGCAAATGAAAACCACAATGAGATACCATCTCACGCTAGTTAGAATGGCGATCATTAAAAAGTCAGGAAACAACAGATGCTGGAGAGCATGTGGAGAAATAGAAATGCTTTTACACTGTTGGTGGGAATGTAAATTAGTTCAACCATTGTGGAAGATAGTGTGGTGATTCCTCAGGGATCTAGAACTAGAAATACCATTTGACCCAGCAATCCCATTACTGGGTATATACCCAAAGGATTATAAATCATGCTACTATAAAGACACATACACGTATGTTTATTGCAGCACTATTCACAATAACAAAGACTTGGAACCAACCCAAATGCCCATCAATGATAGACTGGATAAAGAAAATGTGGCACATATACACAATCAAATACTATGCAGCCATAAGAAAGAATGAGTTCATGTCCTTTGCACGGACATGAGTGATGCTGGAAACCATCATTCTCAGCAAACTAACACAGGAACAGAGAACCAAACACCGCATGTTCTCATTTATAAGTGGGAGTTGAACAATGAGAACACATGTATGCAGGGAGGGGATCATTACACACCGGGGCCTGTTGGGGGGTGGGGGGGCAAGGGGAGGAATAGCATTAGGAGAAATACATAATGTAGATGATGGGTTGATGGGTGCAGCAAACCACCATGGCACATGTATGCCTATGTAACAAACCTGCACATTCTGCACATGTATCCTAGAACTTAAAGTATAATTTAAAAAACAAACAAACAAACAAATTGCAAAGGATAAGATGTTGGAAACAAATTCAAAATTAGGAAGATGATGAAACACCAAGGTAGAAACAATGCTTGCTCCATATCAGAAATGCACAAGAAGGTGGCAAGCACTGATCCAACTACTCTTGATACATTTTTACAAATCAATAAAACACTTGAACTCTCAATGTTTCTAATGCTTTGAATTACAGTGCACTAATAAATGTTTATTTCATTACATTTTTATTGCCTCCTACGTTTGTAACTTTGTTTCTAATATTTTGACAAAAAATTGTAAAAGTCACAGAATGATCATTGTTTTTCCAATTGGATATGGAGATTGCTTTCCCAGGTTTCAGGTTGCACGGTCATTTTTACAATCCTGCATTGCCATGAAAAGTGAGAACTGCCTGTATTCAGAATAATACAGATGGTAATATGTGCTAAGGAAAAATTCATCATGTTAAGATAAATTAGAGTATCAGGGTAGGGAGGGAAATTGATATTTTATACAGGGTGGTTTACATTAGTAGACATTAGGCAGAAAGAGTTGAAGGAGGGATGAAGGGAACCATGTAGCTGTGTTGGAGAAGAAGCAGAGGAGTATACAACTAGACTTTTCCAAAGAATCACTGTGGCTGAAAACTGAAAGCCAGTAGAGGCAATTGGAATGCTACCAGAAGAGATGATGCTGGCTGCGACAGGGAAGGGTGGTGGAGGTGAGAAATGCATGAATTAGGCATGTAACTCAGTGCTGTGCTGGAGCAGCTGAGAGCCAATTGTTAAATTTTAGGAATTTTGCAATCTGGTTGTTTAACTGTTGATGGCTTGAAACTGTCTATGTTGGGAATTTTCATACTACAGAGATTGGCAAGCACTACAAATCAGCTTTTTGTTTTTCCCTTTCAGAAAGTCCATTGTTAAACATTTACTGTCTCATATAAGTGGACATAAGCATTTCAAAGGCAGAATTGAATGCAGAGTATAAAAAAAAGAGAGTGAGAAATCAAGGAGGACTCCAGGATGTTGGACTGTGGCAGCATTTCTGCCACGAGCAGCAGGGCTGGGAAGGCTGCAGGATGCTAGCAGAACTAGTGTCCCATCACAGAGAAAGCAGGGAGAGCTTCTTTCTTTCTTGGTGTGAGACAAAGAGGAAGGAGAATCATTTTTTCTTAAAATTGGGATGGGGGTTCATTTGTATTCAGGAGGCAATAGTGAACCTCAACAAGGCTGGGAAGTTGGAGTAGGCAGGAATCCAGATGGCAGAATAACTCTTGAGGGGCTAGAGAGAGTCTGTGGTTTATGGCCAGTCCCAAGGCGATGGATGCAAGGAGTCCTAATGTGTTTAGATTTGGCGTGTTTCCCACATCCTAGGGAGGTGTCGTGAGTCACTCCCCAGAGCCCCATCCCATGGCCTCTGCTCAGGACCATGAATGAAGACCCTGCTATGGAGCATCAAGGACTCTGCAAAGGAGCAACAGGAGCCTGTGGGCAGGAAGATGTCCTGGGAGGACAGGCATTTGGAGCTGAGTCTGGGGAAGCTTCTCGCCAGCTCCTTCTCTCCAGCTGAGCCCTTCAAGGAAGGAAGGAGGCAGCACAGACTGAGGGTCCCACATGGCAGGGGAGGAGGAAAGGAGCTGTGGGAAACACATCCACATTTAGTCATCTGCTCATCCTTCAAGAAATGATTCCTGAGACTCTGCTATGTCCTCAGTGCTGGTCTTCCTCTTGGGATGCCTATTATGGGTGGACAGGGAGCCCTGAGATAGAATTTCACCTGCTCAGCCCTCCTCCCAAGTCCTGATGCCCTTTCCCTCATCCCTCCCACTCAGGCGCTGAGAGCCTGAGAGCACTAAGAGCAGCCCACTTGAGGCGTCTCAACAGTACTCTACAGTGGGGATTCCTTAGATGCCACGGAGTACAGCATCAAATAATTGAGAGATGGCCTGCAAGGGACCACCTACAGAGTTGGCCCTCATTCAGCCCCCTCTCCCCACCTCCCCTATGGGCCCCTAGGGTGCTGTGGACACCTTTGAACACCCTTATGGTAGCCCACCTCCTGCAGCACCCACACACTTCCTGGGGTTGGGATTCTCCTAGAGGGTTCCCTGAGACTTCTGAGGGTGCTGAGGAAGCCCCATCACCTTCTCCAAACTCCACTGACCCTGAGGCTGTGTGGCATGCGGGCTGGGTGCTCCTGCTGGCCTGACCTTCTGGAGCAGCCCTTGGCCCACCCTCCCTCCTCTACACTTACAGTCAGGCCTTCTGCTTCCGGTGGACATAGGCAGCAGAGACATCAACCAGCAGCAGCACCTTGGAGCCCAGGAGGAGACCTAGGAGGAGTGAGGCAGTAGGAGCTGGCACCCGGACTGGAAATCAGGAGACAGGAGGATCCATTAGAGGGGCCACCTGGGAGGCCATCCCAGGGGCCTCCACTTACCCCATCTGAGGCTACCTGGGCTGTTCAGTTCTCCAAAGCAAGAGTTCAGAATGAGAAGTTTGGAGGGATTCTCTATAGTTTAACAAGTGCGCTGGGTGTTGCAGAGACAGGGGCTATCAATCAGGCTTGTGGGATTCAAACCTTGGATCCCTGACCTGTTCACCACTCAGGTTCCCTCTCTGAGCCTCAATGTCTTCATCTGTAAAAGGGACAGCAAATGGCTCCGACTTCGTAGCACTGGTTAAAAGGAGAAAATGCCAGGATGACGGTACAGTCTCTGACACAACCGCTGCTCCTTGGCCCCCTCCCACCTCCCTCTTCTTTCATCCAAGTGGTCACTTAGGCCAATAGCATGGCAAAGAGGAGTGAGAACCCTACTAGGAGTTAGCAGATCTCAGTTAAACCTGAGTCACTTGCTAGCTGTCATTGTTCCAGGTATGAGATGCACCACCTGGGAATTTTAGTGTCTTTGTCTGTAATATTTGCAAATTAGGATAAAGCCACATTCCTACCTATGTTCAAGGGTTCTGGGGAGCCTTGATTGCTGTTTCATCTAGGAGGGAAATTAGGCAACATCCATTTAAATTAAAACACATACACTCTCTGACCTAACAATGCAACTTCTGGCAGGCATCTGCCACCAGAGTAGGATAACATATGTGCAGGTTCACCCACAGCAGAATTGTTTCAAAAGCTCAAGGTTGGGAACCACTTACATATCCATCAACAGAAGTCTGCAAAATAACATTTGATATTTCCATAAATTGACATATTCTGCAGCTGGTAAACAATGGAGCAGGTCTCTATGTCCTTATATGGAATCTCAATAAGAAATTATATGGCTTGCATTTGGGAGAGGTTTTCCAATCACCAACAGAGCACAGAGAATGAAGGAGAGAGGCGTTCTAAACCTTTGAGTAACTATGAAAAGGAGAAATACTGGCTTCCTACTCGGTTCTTTTCAAGGAGCTTTCATTCAGCACCTACTACGAACCAGACTCTTCTATGGAGAGAGTATCTAATGCCAGGATGGAACGAAGCCTGCCTGGAGTAGGATCTGGGCTCTTGCCCCAACCCTAACTGGCCCTGTGACCTTGGGCAAGGCCCCTGTCATTTCTTGGCTTCAGTCTCCCATCTGTAAAAGGGCATTGGGCTAAATGGTCTGAAGGTCCTTTTTGCACTGATATTCCAGGATTCAGGAGTTAAATTGAGGAACCTGGGCCTCTGAAAGAAAACCCAAAATAAGCATTCTGCTGCCTTAACTGGGGGACCCCTAAGTCACCCATATAGAGGACCTCTTCTCTTAGGCGAGGGACATTCTGAGATGGCCTAGCTCTGCTTGAAACCTTTAGTGACTGTGTGAGGCAGTCCCTGAATCACACAAGGGTTTCCTGAACAACCCACAAACATCCTGGATAGACCCATAAAGCTCTTGCCGTCTCCTTTCACCACGGCCATCAGATTAAACAGTGAATCTGTGTCCTTCAGGAATCTTCCCAGTGTGATGGTTCTGAAGATTATATAAAGAAAAACCCAATTTACTCCCTCAGTGCTCTGGATGGATTTATCCTCATTAGAAGGGAACAGAATGTAAGCTTGGTGAAAGCAGAGCTTGTGCCTTTTTTTTTTTTTAACAACTATTTGCCCAGCAACCACGGTGGAGACTCACACACAGTAGGTTCTCGATGAATGCTTGTTACGTAAAGAAGAGACTCAGCCACCCTGGGGGGAAAGTGCTCTGTGGACGCAGCAGGCAAGGTCTAGCCTTGTGCCTGGGAAAATCACTCAAACCATCAGCTCCCTTATCTGTGGAAACATGGCTGGGCCAGATTAGAAGAGGCAAAGGCTATGGTGCCAGGCAGACTAAGGTTTCAGACTTCCCCATCATTTACCAGTCACGGAGACTTGAGTGAATAGCATGACATCTCCAGGCCTCAATATACCTGATTTGTAGAAGAGGGTGGCATCAGATCATGAAAGTGAGCACCCACTGCCACCCTTGATTGTTGCTGACAGAGGACAGTGCTATTATTGACTTCTTGTCATACCTTGGGGGATGAAGGAGGCCTACACTGTACTCACCACGCACAGACATCTGAGTCCCTGGTCCAGACTTAATCTCCACGTTGGCAGGAATTGCTCTCCGGAGCTTCATACAGTAGTAGGTGCCAGCATCTTCGAGGGTGATGCTACTGATGCGGATGGAATAGTCTGTGCTGTTTCTCTTTCTCTGGTCTGAAATAGTTGTTACCCGGGGAGAGTGGCATCTTTTTGGACTATAGATTAATTTCTGGCCTGGACAAGCTCCTCTGAACCACTGGATGGGTCCCACAGGGAGCAGGGAGGTCACAGTGCAGTTCAGAGTGGCCATCTCTCCAGCTGCAACTGACACAAATGCCTCAGGCTGAATCACCTGCAGCTCCTCACCTGCCACTCCTAGAAAGTAACAGAGCAGTCATTTACTCATCCTTACGTGATCTTGAATGTTTCCTCAAGTGTGTATCAATGAACTTCAATGACTGGGTGCATACCAGGAGCAGGCCTTGAGCTCAGCACACTGTGTGTATTATCTCATTTAACCCTCACAACAAGTCTGTAACATGAGACTGTATTATAAGTGAGGACACTGAGACACAGAGAGGTTCAGTTTCATGGAAGAGCATGGGGTTGCTAACCTGAGTGGAGCTCCTGATCCCCCCTTGGAAGTGTCATGCTTTGCTAAATATTTGTGCCTCCACTTTCTGGCCATATGGAATGTTGCACTTTCTTTTTTTTTTTTTTTTTTTTGAGACGGAGTTTCGCTCTTGTTGCCCAGGCTGGAGTGCAATGGCATGATCTCGGCTCACCACAACCTCCGCCTCCTGGGTTCAGGGGATTCTCCTGCCTCAGCCTCCCGAGTAGCTGGGATTACGGGCATGCGCCACCATGCCTGGCTACTTTTGTGTTTTTAATAGAGACGGGGTTTCTCCATGTTGGTCAGGCTGGTCTCAAACTCCCGACCTCAGTTGATCTGCCTGCCTTGGCCTCCCAAAGTGCTGAGATTACAGGTGTGAGCCACCGCGCCTGGCCAGACTTTCTGAATCATTGCATTGGGTGGAGCCATGTGACTCCTTTAGGCCACTGAGTTGTGAGCAGAAATGATGGGTATAATTTGTGGGCTGTGCATTTAACTGCAAGAGCCTCTGTGGATTAACTTCTCCCTTCCACAGAGACCTACGAGGCTCTGATGAGGTCTGCTCCATCAGCCTGGATGCCTGAATGACCATGAATTCTCCACACACACTGAACATGCAGCTTAACTAACAAGTACAACATTGTTTTAAGCCCCTGAGAATTTCTCACCCATAGCATAATTACATTACCTTAGTTTCCTAATGTTGATGTGACAAATTATCAGAACTTAGCATCTTAAAACAAAAGAAACGTATCATCTTATAGTTCTGGAGGTCAGAAGTCCAAAATCATGTTACTGGACAGAATCAAGGAGAAAAATCTTCAGATATACAAAGATAGAGGATGACATGTTGGTGGCCAGGAGTGAAGTCGGAGAGGTAATGGGGAGATGCAGGCCAAAAGATACAAAACTGCAGAAAGGTAGGATGAAGAAGTCCAGAGATCTAATGTGCAATATGAGGACTAGAGTTAATAGCATTGCATTGAATTCAGTATTTTTGCTCAAAGAGTCTATCTTAGATGCCCTACACACACACACACACACACACACACACACACACACACACACACGGTAACTATGTGAGAGGGTGGATATGTTCATTTGCTTGACTGTAATAACCATTACACTATGTCTATGTATACGAAAGCACCATGTTTTACCCCTTAAATAAGAGGTGTCAGCAAAGCTGTGTGTATTCTAGAGGCTCTGTTCCTTGCTGCCACATTCCTTTCCTCACAGTTACATCTTCCCATCACTCCCACATCTTGCTTCCATTGTCATATGTCCTACAAAGACCCTTGTCATATATTGGGCCCTTTCTGACACTAGACCAAGATGTTAAATCACTGTCTTAAACATGCTCAAACAGCT
Organism: Homo sapiens; assembly: GCF_000001405.40. Lineage (NCBI taxonomy): Eukaryota > Metazoa > Chordata > Mammalia > Primates > Hominidae > Homo > Homo sapiens. The sequence goes on from NC_000020.11 coordinate 1,699,389, forward strand.
AAAGAAAACAACAGAAAAAAAACTAAAGAAACATTGGAATATGATGCATTAATAAAATAAGAACAACAGCAAGAGAAATTATAAAAAATAAACAGAAACTTAAGAGTTAAACAGTACAATAATTGAAAAATCCACTAGAGGTGTTCTCCAACTGGTGTGAGCAGTCAGAAGAGAGATTCAGAAAACTGGAATATGGAATAATTGAAATTATTGTGACTGGGGAATAGAAAGAAAAAGGAATAAAGAAAAACAAGCAGAACCCGAGGACATTGTAGGACATTATCAAATGGATCAACACAAACATTGTTAGAGTTCTAGAAGAAGAAAAGAGGAAGAGAGAAAGGAACAGATTATTTGAAGACATAATACCCCAAAACCTTTTGAAACTTGATAGAATACATGAATCCTCAAATTTAAGATTCTGAAGAAACTCAAGTTTAACTCAAGGAAAAATTCAGAGACCCACACTAAGACACATTATAATCCAACTGTTGAAAACTAAAGTCAGGGAAAGAATCCTGAAAGCAGCAATAGAGAATGGATTCCTCACATACAAGAGTTCTTCAATGAGATGATCAGCCAATTTCTTATCAGAAGCACTGGAAGCCAGAAGGCAGAGGAGTGATATGCTGAAAATGCTGAAAGAGGAAAAACCTATCAACCAAGAATCTTATACCTGGGAAAACTATCCTCTAAACATGAGGGAGAAATTAAGATATTCTCAGATGAATAAAAACTAAGAGAGTTCACTACCATTAAACCTTACCTACAAGAGTGGTTTCAGGTAGAAATAAAAGGATGCTACATGGCAACTGCAAGTTGTATAAATAAAAATGTCCAGGCTGGGCATGGTAGCTCATGCCTATAATCCCAGCACTTTGGAAGGCCAGGGCGGGCGGATCACGAGGTCAGGAGATCAAGACCATCATAGCCAACATGGTGAAACCCTGTCTCTACTAAAAAATACAAAAGTTAGCTGAGCGTGGTGGTGCATGCCTGTAATCCCAGCTACTCAGGAGGCTGAGGCAGGAGAATAGCTTGAACCAGGGAGTCAGAGGTTGCAGTGAGCCGAGATCATGTAGCTTGAACCAGGGAGTTGGAGGTTGCAGTGAGCCGAGATCGTGCCACTGCACTCCAGCCTGGTGACAGAGTGAGACTCTGTCTAAAAAAAAAAAAAAAAGTCCTGCTACATGTAAATTTATTTTAGTTCATATTTTTCTGATGCTTCAACATCCCACAATCATGCTGTGAGTACCCTGCCCAGGTGACCAGGTGCACCAGTGTGATAAGGCTGGCTCCTGGCACAATTTCCCTTTCTTGCCCTCCCATATTGTGACCTAATCCCATAAAAAGACACCAGTAAATCCCATCATGCTCTTTGCTTGTACCCTCTACCCTGACTCCCAGTAAAGGCACTTGCTGAGGAATTCTTTCTCTCTTGCTTCCCCATCTGCTTGATTGAGCCTGCTTCCTAGGAGCTCTTCTCATATGGCTTTCTACGTAGCATGCCCTACTTCCCTCTCTAGGACCTGTGAGTAAAATAAATCATATTCCACATGCCTTTCCAAGTGAAAATTTCATGACCATCTTAGAGTGATTCATAAAGACCCAATAGCCTGACTTTAGCATTTTCAATACCAATGGCAATGAGAATGGGATCATTCTAAACTGGGGTGGAAATTTCCTAGGAGATGCTCTTTAACTATTCATGGCTTACTAATTTGCTACTCTGATTGGCTCCACAACTTGAGAAGGCTTTTTACACTGATGGCTTTCTTTTGCTGTGCTATGTGCAGCTTCATGTTACCTTTTGGAGTTCTGCCAAGACTCTCTATCCTGAAGTGAGGATCCTGTTTAAATATCAATAATGACATCTACATTTCTTCAAGAGCACAGGATGACATAACATTGATAACAACCTCTTCAAAGGAGATTCATGTGATGTGCATATTAACATCACATTATCCAGCATCTCTAAGTTGTTTTGAGGCGCCAGTGGCAACATATTCTTCTTTTACAAAGTTTATTTACAAATTAAAATCAATAGGCACCCCTGTTAGTGCCTATAAACAAAGAAACAAAAATACCTCTTCTCTGTGGAGACTTTAGCAATTTCTTTCATGCTTTTTGGAGTTTCTAGACCATTCATGATGGCCATACATCTCCCCAGGGCCTTTGATGCAAAAACAATGCCCCTCTCACCCTTGTGCTATATTCCATTAAAACAACAAATGCCTGGTTACCTACTGGGCTCTCCCATCCTGGAGTCCAGATCTAGGAACAATACTCTCCTGTTGCAATCATGAACCGTAGATTGTCCCACATGCAAGGCTCTGCTCATCTGAAATGGGGCCCATTGGAACCTAAACTTCCACTGAAAAGCAAAATTAAAATTTCCGTCAGGTGCAGCTGCACACCATTTTGTGGACTGTTGGTCTTATAATTTGTTGATGCAACAATTCTCAACCAAATACTAACAAACTGAATTTAATAGCATATTAGAAGGATTCTACACCATGAGTAAGTGGAATTTATTCCTAGAATACAAAGATGTTTCAATATACAAATGATAATGTAATATATCATATTACACAGTGAAGAGAAAAAGACACGATTATCTCATTTGATGTAGAAAAGCATTTGACAAATTTGAACATCTTTTTATGAGAAAAATAATCAATAAAAGGAATATATGGACATTTCCACAACATGATAAAATCATATACTCATACTACACTATTTTATTTATCTACTTATCATGTGTATTGGTTATTATCATTTCTCCAGTAGAATATAAGCTCCAAAAGGTCAACCACTTTTGCTCTTTTATTCACCAATGCATGCCATGTTCTATGTCAGGTCCTGGCACATAGTAGCTATCCAATATATAGGTGTGTAAGGTGTGAATTACTCATTAGAACACTTCCCTGGGACACTGAAATCTATTTTAAGTGGACTGCATCTGTGATATTTGCTAGAAACTGAGTTTCCCATGTAGATGACTTGGTTTAAAAAACATTCATTTGCATACACAAAGAAAGCAGAAGAGCCCAGAAGGAGAAAACCACAAACCCTCTTCCTATACCACAACCCCACTCACTCCCAGGAGCAGCAGCTGCAAGAAGTCTCATGGCATAGCATCAAGGCCACAAGTATTTGACAAGAGTGACGGTGAAACCTGTGATCTCTGGAGTCAGAGTGCCTGAGTTCGAATCATAGCTCTACCAGTTACCAATGAGCATCCACACAACTCTTTGTGCTTCTGTTTTCTTATCTGTGAGCAGTGGGAGGAGGTTAAGGGGAATATTTATTCTGGGCATAACAACCATCTGAGGTAACAGCTATAAGGCATTTCCAACAGTGTCTAGCACATGGTGAGTATTCAAAAATTGTAAATTATTACTTTTTAGATTTTCTAAGTCATGGAGGCTTCAATCGACATTATATGATATGCATATGGATACAGCTATTGATATAACCATAGATGTAGATAACATAGACAGCGCTCTCTGTTTTATCCCTTTCTTTCTTCCTCACTCTTACCCTTCATGAAAGAGGGAACTCTAAGACAGTAATGCACAGAAGTTCTGCTTTAAAATAAAACTCATTTTACCAAGAGAGAAGTTGCTTACCTATTGCTTATCTTAACAGATTGGGAGAGTTTCAGTGGTAATATCAGATGGTAGAAAGGGGAAGAGAGTGGCTGGGCAACAGGGAAAACCAAACATCTCTTCAACGTGCATTTCATGTAGACTAAAATATGAATGGAAGAGAATGTCTTTTTAAAATCCTGTGTGTTTCAGCATGATTAAGTGAGATTTTTCTCAGGAATACAAGGATGCTTCAATAAACATAAATCTACAAATGCAATACAGTACATCAGCAGAATGAAGGACAAAAACCATAGGACCATATCAACAATGACAAAAAAAGCATATGACAAAATTTAACATTTTTTCATTGTAAAAATGCTCAAAAAATTAGATGTAAAATGAATGCTCCTCAGTACAATGAAATCCATATAGGACAAATCCACAGCTAACATGATATCCAGTGAAGAAAAGTGAAAAGCTTTTTCTCTAAGATCAGGAACAAGACAAGGATATCCTGTCTCACTAATTCTATGCAACATAGTATCAGAAGTCCTATCCAGAATAATTATCAAGAGAAAGAAATGAAAGTCATACAAATCAGAAAGGAAGAATTTAAATTGTTGCTGTTTTCAGAAGACACTATCTTATACATAGAAAATCCTAAAATCTCTAAAAACAATTAGATCAAAAAAGCAAATAAAGTTGCAAAATAGAAACTTAACATGCAAAATCAGTGCATTTCTATACACTTATGACAAATTAGCTTAAAAAGATTAATAGAATAATCTCATTTACCATTGCTTCAAAAAACTAAAATATCTAGGAGTAAATTTAATCAAGTAAGTGAAAGATCTGCCCCCTGAAAACTATGAATCACTGATGAAAGAAATAGAAGACACACAATGACAAGATATGTGTGTTTAGGGATTGGAGAATTAATACTGTTTAAATATTTCCTGAGGAGATCTACAAATTCAGTTCAATCCTAAAAAAATTCCAATGATATTTTCCACAGAAATTGACAGAACAATCTGAAATTAATATTAACTACAGAAAACCATGAATAGGTGAAGCCATCTTGAGCAAAAGAAGAAAGCTGGAGGCACCAGACTGCCTTATTTCAAAATCTGGTACAATGCTATAATAATCAAAATAGCATGGCATTGGCATAAGAAGAGACACATAGATCGATGGTACAGAATAGAGAGTCCAGAAACAAACTTACATATTTTTGCTTAATTGACTTTTGACAAAACTGTTAGACATACAATGAGGAAAGACCAGTCTTCAAAAACTGGTGTTGGCAAAACTGGATGTCCACATGTAAAGGAATAAAATTGGACCTTCATCTTATATCACATAAAAAAATCAACTAAAATGGATTAAAGACATAAATGTAAGATCCAAAACTGTAAAAGTACTAGAAGAAAAGTGCCATGACATTGGTCTGGGCAGTTAATTTTGGGATATAAACCCAGAAGGACAGACAACAAAAGCAAAAATAGACACATGAGATTCCAACAAACTAAACACTGTCTACACAGGCAAGAAAACAATCAACAGAGTGAAGAGACAACCTGTAGAATGGGAGAATATTTGCAAACCATACATCTGATAAAAAGTCAATATATAAAATATAGAAGGAAGTCAAACAACTCCATAGTGAGAAAACAACCCAAAATATAAAATACAGGCCAAATATCTGAACAGACATTTCTCAAAAGAAGACATTCAAATGGCTGTAGGCATATGAAAAAAATCCAACATTACTATTCTCCTGAGAAATGTAAATTAAAACCACAGTGAGATATCATCTCACACCAGTTAGAATGGCTATTATAAAAACAATGATATTTAACTAGTGTTGGAGAGTGTGTGCAGAGAAGAAAACTCTTGCATACTGTTGGTGAGAATGTAAATTAGTTCAGCCATGATAGAAACAGTATGGCAATTCCTCAAAAATTAAAATAGAACTACTATGATCCGGCCATCTCACTACTGGGTATACAATCAATGGAAACGAAGTCAACATGTCACAGAAATATCTGCACTCCCATGTTCACTGCAGCACTATTTAGAATAGCTGAGATATGGGATCAATCTAAGTGTCCATCATCAACAGACAAACTGATAAGGAAAATACACAATGGAATTCTAATCAGCCTTACCAAAGAAGGAAATCCTGTAATTTTTGACAACATACATAAACTTGGGGGACTTTATGCTAAATGAAAAAAGCCAGGTGCAGAAAGACAAATACCACATGATCTCACTCATATGTGGAATCTAAAAAAGTTGAACACATAGAAATAGACAGTAGAATGGGTGTTACCAGGGGCTAGGGAGGAGGTATGGCTGGGGAGAGATTGGTCAAAGGATACAAAATTTCAGTTAGATAGGAGAAATATGATTAAGCGATTACCTGTACAATATGGAGTCCATATTTAATAACATCCATTATACTAAGAGAGCAGATTTTATGAGTTCTCTCCACAAAAAAAGATACGTATGTAAGATCATGCATATGTTAATTAGCTCAATCTAGTCATTTCAAAATGTATACATATTTCTTAATATGTTGTAGATATGCATAATTTTGACAAATAGAAAATAAAACTACAATTTTTTGTTAAAAATTTAATTTAAAATAGAAAGAGAAATAATAAAAAATAAAAACTCCTGTGTGTGTATTCTTACACTCGTATACACAAATGTGTATACACACACTCACACATACACACATTCATAAACACATATAAAAGCATGGCCTATCATGCTAATATACAAGGTTGTTTTGTGCATTGAATAAAATTATAACACTTTTTTTTTTTCGAGACAGTCTCACTGTCCCTCTGCTGCCCAGGCTGGAGTGCAGTGGCATGATCTTGGCTTACTGTAACCTCCGCCTCCTGGGTTCAAACAATTCTCGTGCCTCAGCCTCCCAAGAAGCTGAGGTTATAGACATGCACCACCATGCACAGCTAATTTTTTTTGTATTTTTAGTAGGGACAGGGTTTTTCCATGTTGGCCAGGCTGGTCTTGAACTCCTGGCTTCAAGCAATCCACTTGCCTAGGCCTCCCAAAGTGCTGGGATTACAGGCATGAGCCACCCTGCCCGACCTAAATTATAATACATTTTAAAAGCTCAGTAAAATATCTGGCACATAGAAAGCATCCAACACATTATTAACAAAAGGTTGGAGTGCATACAACAGGGTTTTAACTCTGGTTGTCTCTGACTGGTGTGATGGGTGGTGATTGTTCCTCTGTTTTCCTCCCTGCACTTTCTAATTTTTCTGCAATTAACATAAACTGGCTTAAAGAAGGAACTCTGGAGCTGCTCCATTGACTGAGCTAGGAGACAATGAACAAGTTCCTCCCTCTGCCTGACTCCCCTTTTGCAAGTAGAGGATAACAACTGTAGCTTTCACACAGTGATATTGTGAGGATTAGTCACATTAATACAAAATGCTAAGAAATGTGTCTGTCTTATCAGAAGAGTTTAATTGGTGAACTATTATGGTAGTAATTTCACTACAGTGTATGTGTAAGAAAAATACTTTTAAAAGTGGGAGCCCTGCCCTTTAGGATCTGTGAGGGGACATCACAGCAGGGCCCACTGGGGAGCTGAGAAGGTACTATGCCCAGCCCTGTGACCATGGGGTCAGCTCCATGGATTGAGAAAGGGGTGAGGACAAGCAGCCCGGCTCTCAAAGGCTGCACCAGTTAAGGCCCTCCAGTCCTGCCTGTCTTGGGGAAGGGGAAATAAAATCTCCACAGAAAAGTCTAGGGAACCAAGGCATGTTATGGGGACCTGTTATGGGCTGAATGTGTCCCCCACAATGAATGTGTTGAAGTCCCAATCCCTAATAGCTCAAAATGTGACTGTATTTGGAGATAGGCTCTTTAGGAAGTAATTCAGTTAAAGGAGGTCATTGCGGACAGGCCTTAACACAATGTGACCCTGTGACCCATGTTTTCACTACAGGAGGAGCTGAGGGTACAGACGCACACAGAGGGAAGACCACGTGCTAAGACACAGGGAAGAGATGGCCTTTTACAGCCAAGGAGAGACCTCATTAGAAACTAACCCAGCCGGGCACGGTGGCTCATGCATGTAACCCCAGCATTTGGGAGGCCGAGGTGGACGGATCATTTGAGGTCAGGAGTTCGAGACCAGCTTGATCTACATAGTGAAACCCTATCTCTACTAAAATACAAAAATTAGCCGGGCATAGTGGCGGGCGCCTGTAATCCCAGCGACTCAGGAGGCTGAGGCAGGAGAATCGCTTGAACCCAGGAGGTGGAGGTTGCAGTGAGCTGAGATTGCGCCACTGCACTCCAGCCTGGGTAGACAGAGCGAGACTCCCTCTCAAAACAAACAAACAAACAAACAAACAAACAAAAACCAAAAACCAAAAAAACTAACCCAACTGACACCTTGATATTGGACTTCAGGCTCCAGAACTGCGAGGAAGTATTAGCCCCCCAGTCTGTGGTACTTTGTTATGGAAGCCCTAACAAATATAGGACCCAGCAAGCAGAAGATGTGGAACTTCTTAAAAAGGAACTGGCCACAGAGAAATGGTGGTAACACTCAGATCACAGAGGAGGGAGGAATGGGGGGAACACAGGGCAAAGGGAGGAGCACCCTTAGGGAGGATGGTGGATGCAGGACATCTCCAGGAAACACTGCACCCCTGCCCAACTCAAGCAGGCACCATTTCAGACTTCACTTCTTCAGGATGGTGCACAGAGAGGGCTGGGCTTGGAGCCACACAGCCTTGTCAGGCTGTCTCTGAGCTCACTCTGTGGGCTTCCGCGGGTTTCTTTGCCTCTGGAGCCTCAAGAGTTGCAAGGATTTAAATAATGATTCTTTTGAATGTGTTGTGTAAACTGAACTACTATAAAAATGTAAGTAATTGTTTTGGTGGTGGTTGAAGCATCATGTGGTTTGATGCCTCTGGTAGCCAGCTGCAGATCCACAGAGGAAGTATGCACCTCCCTGATCTTCTGCTCTTAGACAATGCCCAGTCCTTGACTTTCCTTGGCAGCACTTGTGGTTGTCTGGAATCCCTGGAAGCCCAGGGGAAGGCCATGGCTCCGTGGTGAAGAAGAAAGCATTCTAGCCCAAGGCAATGCTCACCTGTGAGTCCTAGCAGGAGAGTCAGCAGCAGGAAAGGACTAGGAGGGTGGGGCCAGGAGGCTAGGATGGGTATCCTGGAGACATCAGGGGCCTGCTCTGTTCAAACGTCTGTGCTGGGGAGATCTCAGGCTCTGCTCTAAGTAGATAAGACAAGCGCTGGCTCCCTCGATTCAAGAGGAAGTAGCTGTGATGAAGTGAGACAGTAACCTGCTTCTAGATTGTGACATAGAAACCAGGCACAGCAGGCAGCTACAAAGTAGAGTTCTCATGCTCCATTTTCAGGAGAATCAGACACACTTAGCAGAAATAATGCTTCCTGCACACCTTGACCATGTTCTCTCTCCCCACATCACCCCTATCTCCATCTCAGATATTTTTGGTGATTCCGCAATTGGGGGTTTTAGGCCAAGAAAGATCTGTGATTGTGAGCTATGCCCTAAACTGTCCATGTCAAGACCGTAAGATGTGGCTGGCTTGCTGCCTTAGTCTGCACCAGCTTCAAACAAACGCTACTCAGCTGGAGGCAGGAGGAACATTTACAGGACTTGCTCAGCACTGGAGAGGAACCAGATCTGCTCCTGAAATGATTCCTTATTCCAAAAGTTTGTTGATGTAACTGCCCAAACTTAGCCCAAATTCAGTCTAATCTGGGACCTTAGCATTTTCATGTGCCTGCATCCAGCAGAAAGAATCATTTCACGACTTCCTCCAGGAGAGGAAGTGGGTTTAGAGTAATAAGGATCTGCTTTAGGAGGTAGGTGGGGATTATGGATTCCAGAGATGAGACAGGGTTATGATGGGAGGAGAATATGGTGGACAGGTTCCTGGGGCCATCACCTCAATTTCAGTACCTTTTGTTCGTGAATGAAACACCTATTTCATTCACTACTGTATTCAGATAAGACCTGAGGAGGGAGGAAGAATAAATGCCCCAACCAAGAGTGTGTGCTAAGGAGTTGGGCAAGCTACTGGGCCCTCCTAGGCTCAGTTTCATTAAACTGTGGATAATAAGTTTAGGATAATATCTCCTAAATGTGGATAATAAGGCTTTCCCTGCAGATGTTATGGTGGAGACTAAAAGAGATGTTATAACTATACCATGCCTGAAACACAGTCGGGCATTATTGATACTCATGGTGCCATGTAAACAGAGGGAACTCAGGTATTGCTTTTGAATGGATCCTTACTGCCTGGCAAGTTGCAGGGACTTCCTCCTATCTAACTCCCTGGTCCTCCTGGGACCCAGCTTACATGAAGCACTTGGACTACCCCTGCCATCCTGATATCAATGGCTCCCTCTGGGATTTTCTTCATCCTGCTCCCTGTCAATCCATACATTAATCCCTCCACTTATAATTTCCAACTGTGTGGCTTTCAACAAGACACTTTACTTCTCTGAGCCTTAGTTTGATTGTACGTAAATGGAGGTTATAACGTGCACCTTGTAGAGATACGGTAGAATAATATAAGCTATACAAAATGCTAGACTTCTACTTAATTATAGCCAAAAAACTGTGGCAACAATTTTTTTGTGTAGAAGAAGCATTCACTGCTTCCCTGCCACAGCTGTACTTTAGAAAAACCACTTTATTGGGAGAAATGGTTTCTCTTCCATCATCTATGACTAACAAAGCCCTGTCCAAAAACATTTCTGTTGCATTCTGGGTTTTAGATTCTTCATCTGTCATGAGAAATTGTCAAATAAAATTGTAAAATTTATCATATTTTCATTCAAATGTTTCAATGTGGCAGATATGCACATGGTGAAATCTTCCCCTGTCTGTGATTCCACACTCACAGAAAGGAAAATGAAAAATTATATAATTATATTAATCAATGTCTAATTACACTTATGAACAAGAAATGAGTCTCCACATAACATGAAGGAAGAGTGGCCGCATCATTTATTGAAGATGTGTTATGCTCCAGATACTGCATCAAACATGGTATGTCAGATCTCATTAAATCATTACTCCAACCCCATGAGGTAAGTGCTACCATTAACCTCCTTTTACAGGTGAGGACACCTGAGGCGGATAGAGAGTAATGAATTTGCTCAAGATCACCCAGCTTTCAGAATTAGAACATAGACTGTCACACTCCACAGCCTTCACTTTTAATGTTTGCTCTATGACAGTTCTCATAGGGAGGGAGAGTCTGTTAGTCTGTTCTCATACTGCTATAAGGACAAACTTGAGACTGGGTAATTTATAAAGGAAAGAGGTTTAATTGACTCACAGTTCTGCAGGGCTGGGGAGGCCTCAGGAAACTTACAGTCATGGTAGAAGGGGAAGCAAACACATTGCTCTTCACATGGTGGTGCAAGAAGTGCTGAGCAAAGGGAGAAAAGCCCCTTATAAAACCATCAGATCTCATGAGAACTCGCTCACTGTCATGAGAACAGCATGGGGTAACAGCCTCCACGATTCAATTACCTCTCACCAGGTCCCTCCCATAACACGGAGGGATTATGGAAACTACAACACAAGATGAGATTTGGGTGGGGACACGGGCAAACCGTACCAGAGAGACATCTTTCAGGAAGTAAGCAGAGAAGAAGCCATAGCCTCAATTAGAAGCAGCCACCACAGGGAGGTTGGGGCAGGTGCCACGCTTCATGAGACCCTGACAACCCCTAATCACTTGGGGCGTTATTCCTGGAAAGATAGCAGTGCATGCAGGAATCTCCAAAGATTTGGAGAACAGCAGCACCATGAGAGCTAGCTAACCAATCCAAGAACAACAATAACTAAAAGCAAAAACAGCAATAAAGAGAACTTCTCCACAGAGAAAACATTAAAAAAAGTCAATGTGAAAAGGTCTTTAAAATTAGTATATTCAATAACCTTATAAAGAAAACCGAAGTAAATCCATAAAACATCAGGTATTTATGAAACAAGAATAGGCAGGCATGAAATAACAACAGGCATCTAAGGAAAATACCAAAACACAGACTGGAAATGAAAACATAATTAGTGCTGAATTTTTTAAATTAATAGGTTTAGTAGCTGAGATATATAAATAAGTAGTAAGTTGGTGAGCTGGGTGATCATGTCAGGGAAATCTCCAAGCATCCAGCACAAAGAGACACACCCAAACAAAGTAATATAAATAGGTACAAATATAGGAATAGCAAAAGATATACCACAAAAGCTTTTCAAGATGGCAGATTAGACGCATTGCTAGCATACTTCTCCCACTTGGAAGGAAAAAATAGTGTGTAGAGAGTCACACTGAGAACTTATTTCCAAGAAGCGACACAGAAACTGAATAGGAAAACCGAAGGAATCGACAGACCTTTTGAAGGAAGCAGGAGGCTGCCGCCTACACTGTGAGTCAGGCAAGGGCTGCGAGTCCCCAGAGTGAGAGGAAGGGAGAGACTGCCTTGGGGATAGACACCCCCACCAGGGACCCTGAAAGTCCAGGCAATGGGGGAAGGCTCTAACTCCAACCAGCGCAGGAACCGACTTGGGGAGGCCTGTGGAATATAAAAGTAGGAGCAACGGCGGGAAGACCCGTGAATGCACTTCCAGATCCTCGTGTGGACCGATGGAAGCCATTCCCTACTGTTCCACACAGGGGACTCTCCGGAGGACAGCCGAAAAGTTCAAGCAGTTGGTCTCAGGTTGAAGGAAGCCCCCAAGGGGGTTTCACAATAGAACCTTGGGTGGGGATGAACTCCCTTGGCCAGGACCAGGGCAGGGGAGAGTGAAAAGTGGGCTGCAACCGCAAGTGCAGGAGCCAGGCACCAGGCTTTCCAGTGGATGGGGAGAGGCGTGGTCTGAAAGCGGCTGTTATTTTCACATGGGCAACTGGAGTTCTGAGTGCAGGCTGACTGGAACTTAGCTCACTGCTGCCAGTGTAACACTGTGGGAGTGGATCTGCCTCGCCAAGTACGTGGGAACTGTGTGGGGGCTTACCGCTGCCTGCTACTCACCATTCCATGTGCGAACCCTTCTGTGCAGCACAGGCAGCAATACTCCCCTCCGGAAGGTCAACCCAGTGACCTGAGACCTGCTCCCATCCCCACAACACCCACAGGGGCTGCTGTGTACCCTGCCAGCAAAGACTCAGAGGGCAAACCCGCCTGACCCAGCTCCCATCTGGCTTTGCTCTGCCACTTGCCCTGGTAGCTTCACATAAAGGACAGAAAATCTTGAGAACTATATGCCTCTCCTCATTGCCTGAGAAACCAGAGTACCCGCACTGGGCAACATAAGGCAAGCAAAAATCCTACTGCTACTACAGCGGCTGGTGCTCTTTTGCAAGCGTCACCTCCTGGCTGGAAGCCAACCAACACAGTCCATGATAGCATCTCCTGGTGGAATAGCACTGCGCCCAAGAAGGAGAAGACAGCTGTGAAATCTCCGTTATCACTACTGCCTGCACCACTCTGGCTAACCAGGAGGTCCTGAGCCTGTCCATATGATTAGATCATTCCACTCTAACTGGTATTCAAGAAAGTGAGTACACTAAGGCTATCAATAAACAAGGAATCTCACAGAGTCTACATCACTCACCTGCTACCACCATTAGAGCTAGTGCTGCTACCCACTGCTGGGAGACTTGAGGACAGGTTGTATCACCAGATCCCTTGCAGACACTCCCCAACATGAGCCTGGAGTGTGGCAACTTCACTGGATGGCTAGACCCAGAGGAACAATAACACTTACAGTAGCCTGGCTCCCAGGGATCCCCACTCTTAGGAGAAGGGGGAGTGCACCACACCAAGGGAACATCCTGTGAGACAAAGGAATCCAGACAACAGGACTTGAGCATCAGATATTTCCACTGGTGGGAAGTTAACAGAGGCACAATTGTAGTGCTGGCCTCAGCAGGGAAAATCTTCAGCTCTAGCCCAACAGTCAGACAGCCTTGGTGCCCATGAAGGGCTTTGGATAAGGAAATATCTTTTCTCCCTTGTCCACCACCACAGGCATGGTTAGGGCTTTTCCCATGGGAGTTAAGTGTGGGTTAAACTATAGACGCCCTTTCTGGAACACGTCAGGGTGATGGCATCCCCACAGGAGGAGCATCCTCCAGGTGCCGGCTTGCATGAGAGACAGAGTCACAATTCCTCTCTACTTGAACATCAACATTCCTACCCATGAAGAGGTGCCTGTCTGATCTGAATGCTGGAGTACTAGGACTGGAGTGTGTCTGAGAGGTGAATAAATTTCCTGCTGACCTGGCAGGGGAGCTAAGGTGGCTTCAACCCTTCCTTCTGATAAGACCTCAGTGCAACTCACTGAGAGCTCCTCCAAGAACCTCTGTCAAAACTGGGACCTCTGCCCACCATTGGGTATCGCATTTGCCCATCTGCTGTAGCCACAACTAGTCCCTACCCAGGGACACCTCCCCTATTGGCCCCTACTACAACTAGCATGTGGGAAAGCCATTATACAAAGACTTTATAACCAGGGAACTCTTACAGTCTTCATCCCTGGAAGCACCAAGAACCAAATTAGGCTGTAACTAACTATAAGTATTAAAGTCTCATCCTTAAGGGGAAAAAGAAATTAAAACAAACAACAAACTTAGTCAAATCAAACATAAATTCAAGAATAGTTAGAAGAAATAGCCTACCCAAATAAGAAGGAACCAGAATATAAACTCTGGTAATATGACAAAATATGGTTCTATAATACCCCCAAAGGATCACACTAGCTCTACAGCAATGGATGCAAACCAAGATGAAATATTTGAAAATACCAGATAAGGACTTATTAAGCTACTCAAGGAGATATCAGAGAAAGGTGAAAACCATCATAAAAAATTTTTCTAAGTTTAGGATATGAATGAAAAATTTTCTAGACAGATAGATATCATCAAGAAAAACCAATTTGAATTTCTGGAAATGAAAGACACACTTAGGGAATTACAAAATGCAGTAGAAACTTTTAATAATACACTAAAACAAGTAGAAGAAAGAATTTCAGAGCTTGGAGACAAGGCTTTTGAATTAATTCTATTAGGCAAAAATTTTTTTAAAAAGGGTCAAAAGAAATGAACAAAGTCTCCAAGAAATACAGGATTATGTAAAATGGCCAAATCTAAGAATAATTGATGTTCCTAGGGAGAAAAGAAAATAACAAATCTGGAAAAGATATTTGAGGGAATAATTGAGGAAAATATCCCTGGCCTGGCTAGAGATCTAGATATCCAAATCCAAGAAGCTCAAAGAACTTCTGGGAAATTCATTGCAAAAACATCTTCACCAAGGCATATAGTCATCAGGCTATCTAAAGCCAACATGAAGGAAAGAATTCTAAGAGCAGTAAGACAAAAGTATCAGGAAACCTACAAAGGAAAACCTATCAAACTAACAGCAGACTTCTCAGCAGACACCTTACAAGCTAGAAGGGATTGGGGTCCTCTCTTCAATCTCCTTAAACAGAACAATTTTCAGCCAAGAATTTTGTACCCTGCAAAACTAAGTTTAATAAATAAAGAAGAAATAAAGTAATTTTCAGACAAACAAATGTTCAGGGAATTTGTTACTACCATACCAGCACTACAATAAATGCTAAAAGGTGTTCTAAACCTTGAAACAAAAACCCAATATGCACCAAAATAGAATCTCTTGGAAGCCTAAAACTCACAGGGCCTACAAAACAATAACACAATGAAAAAAAAATTATCTAGGTAACATTTAACATGATGAAGAGAACAGTACCTCACTTCTCAATATTAATGTTGAATGTAAATGGCCTAAGTGCTCCACTTAAAAGATACAGAATGGCAAAATGGATAAAAAATCACAATCCAAATATCTACTGTCTTCCTGAGACTCACCTAACATAGAGGGATTCATATAAACTCAAGGTAACATGGTGGAAAAAGATATTCCACACAAATGGAAGCCAAAAGCAAGCAGGAGTAGCTTTTCTTATATCAGACAAAACAGACTTCAAAGCAACAACAGTATAAAAGGACAAAGATGGTCACTATATAATTATAAAAGGATCAATCCAACAAGAAGATATTACAATCCTAAATTTATAAGCACCTAACACTAGATCTCCCAGATTCATAAAACCACTACTAATAGATCTAAGAAATGAGACAGACAGCAACACAGTAATAGTAGAAGACTTTAATATACCACTGACAGCACTGGGCAGATCATCAAGACAGAAAGTCAACAGAGAAATAATGGACTTAAATTACACCCTAGAACGAATGGACTTAACAGATATTTACAGAACATTCTACCCCCAAACTACAGAATATACATTCTTCTCATCAGCACAAAATAGACCATATGCTAGGTCACAAAACAAGTCTCAATAAATTTTTAAAAATCAAAATCATATCAAGTATCATCTCAGACTACAGTGGAATAAAACTAGAAATTAACTCCAAAAGAAGCCCTCCAAACTATACAAATACACAGAAATTAAATAATCCACTCCTGAATGATAACTCGGTTAATGATGAAATCAAGATGGAAATTAAAAAATTATTTGAATTGAATGATAATAATGACACAAGTTATCGAAACCTCTGGGAAACAGCAAAAGCAGTGTTAAAAGGAAAGTTTACAGCACTAAATGCCTACATCAAAAAGTCTGACAGAGCACAAATTGACAACCTAATATCATGCTCCAAGGAACTAAAGAAACAAGACCAAACTAAACCCAAAGCTAGAAGAAGGAAAGAAATAACAAAGCTCAGAGCAGAACTAAATGAAATTCAAACAACAACAACAAAATACAAAAGATCAATAAAACAAGAAGCTGGTTCTTTGAAAAACTAAACAAAATAGATAGACCATTAGCTGGATTAACCAAGAAGAGAAAAGATGCAAATAAGACCAATTAGAAATGAAACTGGAGCCATTACTACTGACACCACAGAAATACAAAAGATCATTTGAGACTACTATGAACACCTTTATGCACATAAACTAGAAAACCTAGAGGAAATGGATGAATTCCTGGAAACATACAACCCTCCTATATTAAATCCAGAAGAAATAGAAACTCTGAACAGACCGATAACAAGTAGCGAGATTGAATCGGTAATCAAAAAAATGGCAAACAAAAAAAAAGGTCCAGGACCAGATGGATTCACAACTGAATTCTATCAGACATCCAAAGAAGAATTGATATCAATCCTGCTGAAACTATTTCAAAAGATAGAGAAAGAAGGAATCCTCCCTAAATCATTCTATGAAGCCAGTATCACCCTATTATCAAAACCAGAAAAGGACATAACAAAAAAAAGAAAACTACAGACCAATTTCCCTGATGAACATAGATGCAAAAATCCTTAACAAAATACTAGCTAACCAAATTCAACAGCACAACAAAAAGATAGTTCATCATGATCAAGTGGACTTCAACCCAGGGATGCAGGGATGGTTTAACATACACAAGTCAATAAATGTGATACATCACATAAACAGAATTAAAAACAAAAGCCATATGATCATCTCTATAGATGCAGAAAAAGGATTCAACAAAATCCAGCATTCCTTTATGATAAAAACTCTCCTCTCAAAAAACTAGGCATAGAAGAGTCCTACCTCAAAAAAATAAAAGCCATAGATGAGAAACCTATGCCAATATCCTACTGAATGGGAAAAAGTTGAAAGCATTCCCCCAAGAACAAGAATAAGGCAGGGATGCCCACTTTCACTACTTCTATTCAACATAGTTCTGGATATCCTAGCCAGAGAAATTAGGCAAGAGAAAGAAGTAAAGAGCATTCAAATGGGAAAAGAGGAAGTCAAACTATTGCTCTTTGCAGATGATATGATTATATACCTAGAAAATCCTAAAGACTCCTCCAAAAGACTCCTAGATTTGATAAATGAATTTGATAAAGTCTCAGGTTACAAAATCAACGTACACAACTCAGCAGCACTGCTGCACACCAACAACCACCAAACTGAGAATCAAATGAAGAACTCAGTCCCAAACAACTGCAAAATAAAATACCTAGGAAAACAAACAACAGTTGTAAAATAAATAAAATACATAGGAATATACTTAACCAAGAAAGTGAAAAATCTCTACAACAAGAACTCCAAAACACTGCTAAAAGATATCATAGGTGACACAAACAAATGGAAACACATCCCATGCTCATGGATTGGAAGAATCAATATTAAGGAAATGAGCATAATGCCCAAAGCAATCTACAAATTCAATGCAATTCCCATAAAAATGCTAGGAGCATTTTTCACAGAATTAGAAAAAACAATCCTAAAATTCATATGGAACAAAAAAAAAGAGCCTGCATAGCCAAAGCAATACTAAGCAAAAAGAACAGACCTGAAGGCATCACATTACCAGACTTCAAATTATACTACAAGGCTATAGTTACCAAAATAGCATGGTACTAGTATAAAAGTAGGCACATAGACCAATGGAACAGAATAAAGAACCAAGAAATAGAGCCCAATATGTGCAGCCAATTGATCTTCAACAAAACATGCAAAAATATAAGTTGGGGAATGGACACCCTATTTAATAAGTGGTGCCGGGAAAACTGGCAAGCTACATGTAGAAGAATGAAACTGGATTCTCATCTCTCACTTCATACAAAAATCAATTCAAGATGAATCAACGACTTAAATATAAACCTAGAACTATAAAAATTCTGGAAGACAAGGTTGGAAAAACTCTTCTAGGCATCAGCCTCAGCAAAGAATTCATGACTAAGCCCCAAAAGCAAATGCAACAAAAACAAAAATGAATAAATGGGACCTAATTAAACTAAAAAGCTTCTGAACAGCAAAATAAATAATCAGCAGAGTAAACAAACAACACATACAGTTGGAGAAGATATTCCCAAGTCAAGTTACAATTGACTGGTAAGGATACCGAGGCCCACGATGGTGGAGTGCCTTGTCCCAGATCACAGAGCTGGGAAATGTCAGAGCTGAGATGTGGCACAGGTGATGGGGCTCCAACCCATGCTCTCCTAACCACTGTGCTACTGACACTCAGTAATAACCCTAACACCATCACCATCCAGAACTCTGTGCACATCCTCTCCAATCCCCACAGAGTCCATAATGGTGACCATGATCATCACCATTTCACAAATGGGAAAACTGAGGACTCGAGGGTAGCCAAGACTTTACCAAGATCACACAACCTTGGGAAAACAACCCCATCATTTACTGGTCTATTCTCTCCCCAGATTAGCTGTATCCTCTTAACATCCTGGAATGATTGGTGTAATTATCTACACCCTACATATGAAGAAACAGGCTCAGCAAAGGGAACTGGGTTGCCTGAGATCACACAGCCTTGAAATAACACGTGATTTGGGAGAGTGCCTACAATGTGTTAGGTGATTTACAGAGAGAATCTTAAGTCCTTTCCACTCTCCTAAAGGAGTCCAAGATTGTCATGATTTTACAGATGAGAAAACTGAGACTAAGAGAGATGAAGGCACTGTCTTCTTATCCCCCGTGCATGACTTGGGCATTTCCTGTGTTTTGCCAAGCTTCCCTGTTCATCAAAGAGTAAGCACTAGAACTTCAACATCCCCAACAATGACTGCCACCTCCCTTGTCCCTTTCAGATTCTTGACTTAATGCAATTCTAGGGAGAAGTCTCCCTTCTGGGTGCCCAGGGCTGGTTACTCTGTAGTTCTCCCCTTGGGCTCCCTATGGTTACTCTGTACCCATAAACAGAAGACCTTGGGTTCCTAATAGCCCAAAAAAGAATGTAAACTCTTGCTCACACGGGGCATGAGAACTCTAGGAAATGTCTCATTCCCACATCCTTAGTCTTCGGCACCATGAGTGGGTGGGCACGTTGTAATGGCCCAAGTGGCTCACCTTGCCCATTGCCTAGACAGAGTCGATTTATGAAGACAGGGGAATTGCTTGAAAGAGTAATTCACACAATTCTGGCTTTGCGGGAGACCAGAGATTTATTATTACTCAAATCAGTCTCTCCGAGCATTTGGGGAGCAGAGTTTTTAAGGGTAAGTTGGTGGGTAAGGAGAAGCCAGTGAGCCAGGAGTTCTGATTGGTCAGGGATGAAACCATAGGGAGTCGAAGCTGTCTTCCTGAGCTGAGTCAGTTCCTGGGCAGGTGGCCATAAGAGCAGAGGAGCCAGTTTTTGGATCTGGGTGGTGCCGGATGATACATCAAGTTCAGAGTCTGCCAAATATCTCAAGCACTGATCTTAGGAGCAGTTTAGGGAGGGTCAGAATCTTGTAGCCTCCAGCTGCATGACTCCTAAACCATAATTTCTCATCTTGTGGCTAATGTTAGTCCTACAAAGGCATTCTAGTCTCCAGGCAAGAAGGTCTGCTTTGGGAAAGGGCTGTTACCATCTTTGTTTAAACTATAAACTAAGTTTCTCCCAAAGTTAGTTCAGCCTACGTCCAGGAATGAACGAGGACAGCTTGGAGGTTAGAAGCAAGATGGAGTCAGTTAAGTTAGATCTCTTTCACTGTCTCTCATAATTTTGCAAAGGTGGTTTCAGTGTGGTCTGCTGAAAGGCAGGAGGCTGGACTCAGCTCCATGGATGCTGCTCGATGAAGGAGAAATGGCACATGTAAGAAGAGTCCTAAATGCCAAGACATATCTTTTAGGACAGGTTCAACATAACATATAATGCCTGCAGGAACTTTCTGATGGGGGTTGTCAAGCCAGCCCCTCCTACCCACACAAGAAGAAGCCTTTTTTTTCTTTTTTTTTTTAATGTTTAGTGATATAGAACAGAACAATACAACAGTTTAGAACGAGAAGGTTGAAGCATTTCCCTACACTTCAGCAAGCACAGCTGGGTGTTGCGGAGACAAGGGCTGTGTGTCAGGCAGCTGGGGGTCAAAACTTGGCTCCTCTGCCTGCTCACAAGTCAGGTCCCCTCTCTAAACCTGTGTCCTCATCTATAAATGAGGCAGCAAATGGTCTCCCTCTCATAGCACTGGTTATAAGGAGAAAATGCCAGATGAAGACACAGCATCTGGGACAGCTGCCACTCTTTGGTCCCCTCCTCACTTTTCTCCAATCTAATCCAGGGCATCGTTTAGGTTAATGGCTTGGAAAACAGGAATGAACACTCTACTAGGAGTCAGCACATCTGAGTTACTCCTGAGCCTTAATAAGGGTGCTTGCCTAGGCACAATATGAACCATCGTGGAATTTCAATGTCTTTGTAATATCTGCAAAATCAGGGTAAAACCACCTTCCCTACCTATGTTCAAGGGATGCAGGGTGGTGGTGGGGGGTGCTGATTATTTCAACATCAAGAAGAAAACATTAGCAATAGCTACATACCTTAAAACACACACACCCTGTGACCCGGCAATGTCACTTCCAGTGGGTGTCTTCCACCTGAGCAGGATGACGCATGTACATATACAAGGCCACCCACTGCAGCGTTGTTTTAGTAGCCCAAGGTTGGGAACAACTTACATATCCATTAACAGAAGACTGTAAACTAAGTTTGATAGCTCCATAAGTTGGAGTACTCTACAGGTATTAATTGAGCAGCTGTCTATGTCCTGATATAGAATCTTTATATAAAATGAAACGGGTCACATGTGGTGCCTCATGCCTGTAATCCCAGCACTTTGGAAGACCGAGGTGGGTGGATCACCTGAGGTCAGGAGTTCGTGACCAGCCTGGCCAACATGGTGAAACCTTTTCTCTACTAAAAATACAAAAATTAGCCTGGCACAGTGGCAGGCACCTGTAGTCCCAGCTACTCAGGAGGCTGAGGCAGGAGAATCACTTGAATCTGGGAGGTAGAGGTCTCAGTGAGCCGAAATGTTGCCACTGCACTGCAGCCTATGTGACAGAGGGAGACTCCATCTCAAAATTAAAATAAAATAAAATAAAATAAAATAAAATACTTACTGTTTTCCAGTCAGGCTCGAGGTCTGAATGTCAGGGGTGTTCTGAACCTTGGGAAGGTGGTGAAAAGGGGAAGTGCTGGCTGCCTCTCAGTGGTTATGTTCAAGGAACATCTATTCAGCACCTAGGATGTACCAGGCTCTTCTGTGGAGACGGTGTCTAACACCAGGGCAAGAAGGACCTGCCTGGAATCGGATCTGAGCTCTAATTTGGATCCCATCACTAACTGGCCCTGTGACTGTGGGCAAGACCCATGTCATTTCCTGGCCTCAGGCTCTTGTTTGTCAACAGGGGGTTGGACTGGCTGGTCTGAAGATCCCTCCTGTGCTAACATCCCAGGATCAGGAGTTAGATTGTGAATCTAGATCTTTGGCAGGAAACCCAAAGTGAGCGTCTTTGCTAACTCTACTGGGAAACCTCTAAGTCACTCACATGGGAGGCCTCTTCCCTGGAGAGAGGGATATTCTGAGATGAACCACCTCTGACTGCAGCCTACAGTACCTGTGTAAGTCAATCCCTGAATCACACAAGAGTTTCTCTAACAGATCCACAAACACCAAAGCTCACGGCATCTATGCCCAGCAGGGCCATCAGATTAAACAATGGATCTGTGCCTCTCAGAAATCTTCCCAATGTGATGTTTTTTGAAGATTAAACTAAGAAAAACACAATCCCCCTCCCACCCCGAACAAATTCCTTCTCATTGGAAGGAAAGAGAGGGTAAGGTTTGTGAGAGACAAGTTTTTCCCTGTTTTGTTCATTGCAGCTTACACAGCAACCAGGGCAGAGCCTGGCACATAGTAGGTTTTCAGTGAGTACCAGTTATATAAAAAGGAGACTCGGCCACCCAGAGGGGGAAAATGCTCTGTGGAGGCAGAAGGCAAGATCTGGCCTTGTGCCTGGGCAAGTCACCCAATCTTTCAGTTCCCTCATCTGCAGAAACCAAAGGCTGGGCCAGATGAGAAGAGACAAGTTGTGGAGAAGGCAGACCAGTGTTACAGACTTTACCCACCATTTACAGGCCATGGGTGCCTGAGTGAATAGCATGATGCATCAGGCCTTAACTTAACTGATCTGTAGAAGGGGGTGACACCAGTTCATGAAAATGCGTACCCACCACCACACCCGATTGTTGCTCAATGAATGGAAGGTGTTACTATTGACTTATTGTCACACACTGGGGGACGAAGGAGGCCCACACTGTACTCACTATGCACAGACAACTCAGTGCCTGGTCCAGATTTAAGCTCCATGTCAGGGCCCCCTTTCCAGAACTTCACACAGTTGTAGGTGCCAGTGTTGGCTCTTGTGATGCTAGTGATGCACATGGAAAAGTCTGTATTGTTTCTCTTTGTGATGTCTGAAATGCAAGCTATCTTGGGAAAGTGGCCTCCTTTTGAACTGTAGATTAGTTCCTGCCCTGTTTCAGTTCCTTTGAACCACCTGATGGGCCCCAAGGGCAAAGGGAGGTCACAGAGTGGTCAAACCTCCAGCTGTGACTGACACTGACTTCTCAGGCTGAATCACCCGCAGCTCCTCCTCACCTGCCGCTCCTGGAGGAAAACACAAAACAGTCATTTAATCATCCTTATGTGATGCTTATGTTTTCTAAAGTGTTTATCAATGACTTTCATTGACTGAGTATACACCAGGAGTGGGCCTTGAGCTCAGCACACTGCATGTATTATCTCATTTAACCCTCACAACAAGCCTGTACCATGAGACTGTATTACAAGTGAGAACACTGTGGCAGAGTCAGGTCCAGTTTAATGGTAGAGCATGAGGTTGAGGACCTGAGTAGAACTCCTGAACCCTCCTTTGAAATATCATGCTTTGCCAAATATTTGTCTCTCTACTTTCTGGCCACATGGAGTGTTGCTTTTTCTGAATCATTGCATTGGGTGGCGCCATGTGACTTCTTTAGACCACTGAGTTGCGAGCAGAAGTGATGGGTATAATTTGTGGTCTGTGCATTTAATGGCAAAAGCCTCTGTGGATCAACTGCTCCCTTCCACAAAGACCCACAAGGCTCTGATGGAAGCTACTTCCTCACTTTGGATTTCTGAGTGACTATAAAATACATAACTCTCAACGCACAATGAACATATGGCTTAAATAAGAAATAAAACATTTTTTAAGCCCTGAAATTTTTTAGCCATAGCATAATCACATTACATTAGATTCCTAACGATGCTCTGACAAATTACTACTAAATGTATGTACTACAACAATAGAAATGTATTATCGTACACTTCCGGTGGTCACAAGTACAAAATTGGAATTGTTGAGCTGTAACCAAGAAAAAAGAAAAGAACTCAAATATGCAAAGGTGGAGAATAAAACTTTGGTTTCCTGGAGTAGGGTTGGGGAAGGTTATGGGGAGATGTATGTCGAAAGATACAAAATTGCAGATCGTTAGGATGAAAAACTCTACAGATGTCATGTACAGCATGAAGACCCTAGTTAATAATATTGAATTATTCTCACAATTTTTACTAAAAGGTAAGATTTTAGATGCACTTGGCATACACACAAAACAAGGTAGCTATTTGAGATGATGGTTATATTCATTTGCTTGACTGTAACAATATCTATCTACCTATATATATCTCAAAGCACTTTTAAATATATACAATCTAAGCAGGTATCAGCAGAGATAATATTTTTAGGCTTCTGTCTCTTACCTGTCCAGTTCTAGAGGTTGTTCACATTCCTTTTTTCACAGTTTCATCTTACTATCACTCCAACCTCTTGCTTTCATTATCACATGTCCTTCTTTAATTCTTACTCTCCTGCCTCCTACTTATAAGAACTCTTGCAATATATTGGTCCCATCCTGATACTAGACCAAGACTTTAAAACAACTGTCTTAAAATGCTCAAAGAGAGCCAGGTGCGGTGGCTCATGCCTGTAATCCCAGCACTTTGGGAGGCTGAGGTGGGTGGATCACCTGAGGTCAGGAGTTCAAGACCAGCCTGGCCAATGTAGTGAAACCCCATCTCTACTAAAAACACAAAAAATTAGCTGGGCGTTGTGGCAGGCACCTGTAATGCCAGCTACTAGAGAGGCTGAGGCAGGAGAATCACTTGAACTGGGGAGGCAGAGGTTGCAGTGAGCCAAGATCACACCATTGCACTCCAGCCTGTGCAACAAGGGCAAAATTCCATTTCAAAAATGCTCAAATAGCTAAAGGAAAACGTGGACAAAAATCTAAAGGAAATTAGGAAAAGATGTATTAACAAAATGAGAACATCAACTAAGAGATAAAAAATATTAAAATAGAACCAAACAGAAATAGAAGAGCTGAAAGTCATGATAATGCAACATTCGCTAGAGGAGTTTCATAATAGATTTTAGCAGGAGGAAGAAAGAATCAGAAAACTTGAAATGAAATTATTGAGTCTCCAGGATAGAAAGACAAAAAAGAATAAAGAAAAAGGAACAGAACCTGAAGGACTTATGGGATACCACTAAGTGGATGAACATACACATTATGAGAATAACAGAAGAGGAAGAGAAACAGAGAGGAAGGAGAAGATGGTTATTTGAAGAAATAATATCCCAAGTCCTCCCAAAGTTGATTAAATATGTGAATCTACAAATATAAGTTGCTGAACAAATGCCAGGTAAGATAAACTCAGAGACCCACACTAAGATATATTATAATCCAACTATTGAAAGCTAAAATGAAACAAAGAATCTTGAAAGCAGCAAGAGAGAAGCCATTCCTCACATACAAGAGATCCTCAGTAAGATTGTTGGCTGAGTTCTTATCAGAAGCATTGGAGGCCAGAGGCAGTGGGATGTTATGTTTAAAGTTCTGAAAGAAAAGAAAAGCCATCAACTAAGACTTCTATACCTGATAAGACCATCATTCAAAAATATGGGATAAATCGAGATATTCCTGGATACACAAAAGCTGACAGAGTTCATCTCCTCTAGACCTGTCCTACAAGAAATCTTAAAGGGAGTTCTTTAGGTTGAAATGAAAGGATGCAACATAATACCTCAAAATTGTCTGAAGAAATAAATATTTTCTGTTGTGGTTTAAAATTTTAGAACTTCATATTTTTCTCATGCCTTGATGTCCCCACAAACAGGCTGTGAGCACCCTGCCCACGCAATGAGGTGCCAATATGATAAGGCTGGTCCCTGATACCAGTTCTTGCCCTCCCCTACTGTAACCTAGTGATATTCAAACACACCAGTGAAATTCCCTCATGCCATTTGCTTGTGTACTTTACTGTGACTCTAATAAAGGCATTTTCCCAGGGGTCCACCCGGTCTCATCTCCCCACCTGCTAACTTGAGCCCTTTCTCTAGGAGCTCCTTCTAACGGGCTCCCTGTGTGGCATGTCATGCTTCACCTTTTAGGAACTATGAGTAAAACAAATCATTTAATTTTATATGTCTCTTCAAGTATGACTTCTGCAACTGTGTTGGAATGATCCCCAAAGATCCCACCAATGACACTTACTCCACCATTTACAACACAACTGGTGATGAGAATGGATCATTTAAAATGGGTAGAAAGTTCCCAGGGGATGTTTTTTAACTGCTCATGGCTCACTAATTTGCTATCCTGATTGGCTCCACCAATAGAGACGACTTTATATCCTGCTGGCAAGGTGTGCACCACTTTGTGTTTCTGCCAGGACTTTCCATCCTATAGTGTGGATCCTGTCCCAATCTCAATAATATGGCCCAGGATACCACTTCCTATCCATGATTCCAGCAAGAGGGGGATACTTAAACTATCATTGCCAGGGATCTGAAGTTACTGGGCTATGTGGATTGGCTATTTCTCAGTGTACTTCGGAGTGATTTTGATTTGAAGAAGAACTCCTGCTGATAGAATGGAGATCTCCTTTGGTGCTGAGTGCATATCACTCTGTTCCAGCCTCAGCAATAAAGACAAGTTGAGGAGTCCAGTGGGCTACAGCTTGGGTGGGTGGCTCTCTCCCCACTGTTCAATGTGTTGTTGAATTACAACAACACAGATGCTTCTCAGCTTGTGGTGAGGTTATGTCCCAGTAAACCCATCCTAACTTGAAAATGTTGTAAGTCAAAAATGCATTTAACATACCTAACCTACTGAACATCATAGCTTAGACTAGCCTGCCTTAAACATGCTCAAAACTTAAATTGGCCTAGAGTTGGGCAAAATCATCTACACAAAGACTACTTGATAAGAATGTATTGGATATCTCCTGTAATTTATTGAATACCGTACTGAAAGTAAAAGAATGGTTGTATGGGTACTGGAAGCATGGTTTTTGCTGAATGTATCACTTGCACACCATCAGAAAGTAAAAACTTAGAAATCGAGCCATTGTAAGTCAGGGACCATTTGTAATTTCCTCTCTTCTCTCTTGGTGTCAGGCAGCCCTCCTTTCTCAGAGAGTCCTCCACGGCACCTCGTAGAGCTCTGTGCCTCCAGGGCTGCTGAGAGCTTCTCTGTTGCCTCCCTTGCTGCTGTTGCTTTCATATCCCAACTCCATTGGATATCTCAGATCTCATCCACGGAGATAGGTGGCTCAATGTTTTTAAAAAGCAGAGCAAAGTGGGAAGGGGCACTTTGATCCCACTCCCCCTAAGACGCTTGAGGTTTCTTAGATCATTCGAGATTATAAATCAGGACGGGAAGCCACTCAGGACTACCAGGGGCTTGTCAGGTAAATATCCAAAGAGAGAGGGGAAACCTGTATCCACTCATAAATGCGAGTCATTCTAAAATATTTTGCATCCTGGGCAACATGGCAAAACTCTGTCTCTACAAAAAAAAAATTATGCAAAAAATTAGCCAGGCATGGTAGAGCATGCCTATAGTCCTAGCTACTTAGGGGGCTGAGATGGGAGGATCACCAGAGCCTGGGAGGAGGAGGCTGCAGTAAGCCAGGATCATACCACTGCACTCCAGCCTGGGTGACAGAGTGAGACCCTATGTCAAAGTAAATAAATAAATAAAATATTTGCTGAAGAGAAAAGAAGAGGGAGGGGGATGGACTGATTATATTGGAGTCATCAGGGCCATCCCAGAGAGAGGCTACTGCCTAGAGGTGCTATCCTTTTTCTCCTTTTCCTCTTACTAACCAGAGACAAAACTAAAGGCATAGCTTCCAGAGGCAATAATCCCAAAATAGGAAAAAAAAAAAAAAAAAAAAAGAAAAGAAAAAAGAGGAAAGGAGAGATTTGCTGATTTAGGCACCCACAAAGCCAAGATGGAAATGAAAATGTACATTAACACTTATGTACTGAGCAAGTGTTAGGTTTAGAAAGTGTCACACACGTCCCTGTGAAGAGACCACCAAACAGGCTTTGTGTGAGCAGTAAAGTCTTTTAATCACCTGGGTGCAGGCAGGCTGAGTCCAAAAAGAGTCAGTGAAGGGAGATAGGGGTGGCACTGTTTTATAGGATTTGGGTGGGTAGTGGATAATTACTGTCAAAGGGGGTTTTTCTCTTGCAGGCAGGGGCGGAGGTCACTGTGGGGGAGCTTCTGAGCCAGGAGAAGGAATTTCACAAGGTTAAATGCTCAGTTAAGGTGGAGCAGGAACAAATCACAATGGCGGAATGTCATCAGTTAAGGCAGGAACCGGCCATTTTCACTTCTTTTGTGATTCTTAGGCCATCTGGATGTATTCATGCAGGTCACAGGGGATATGATGGCTGAGCTTGGGCTCAGAGGCCTGACATTCTTGTCTTCTTATATCAATAGGAAAAATAACATAAAATAGTATTGAAGTTTTGGGGCAGCAAACATTTTTAGGGGGTGGTACGGAGAGATAATGGACGATGTTTCTCAGGGCTGCTTCGAGCGGGATTAGGGGCAGCATGGGAACCTAGAGTGGGAGAGATTGAGCTGAAGGAAGATTTTGTGGTAAGGGGTGATATGGTGGGGTTGTTAGAAGAAACATTTGTTGTATGGAATGATTGGTGATGGCCTGGATACAGTTTTGAATGAATTGAAAAACTAAACGGAAGACACGAGGTCTGAATAAGAGAAGGAGAAAAACAGGTATTAAAGGACTAAGAATTGGGGGACCCAGGACATCTACAATTCAAGAGTGCCCAAGGGGGTTCAGTGTAATTACTTGCTTGGTTGGTGAGTTTTTTGGGCTCTATTCTTGAGTTTTTTTATGTTGTCATACACCAGGCCAGATTGATTTAGGTAAAAACAGTTTTCATTTAAAAATATACAGAGTCCTCTTTTTTTAGCAGTGAGTTAAGTCGAGGCCTCGGCAATTTTGGAGGAAAGAGAAATGCAAAGCCAGCAATCGTTTGTTAAAGAAGGATTAGAAACAGCTAGGAGAGAGTGAGCGAGATTGATAGTGTGGTGGAGATAGCTGGGGAGAGGTAGAGGGTGGCATAAGAATGGAAACAAGAGTAAGAGTGAGTATAAAAGTAAAGAATAAGACTTCATCAGGGTGAAAGTATTGGAGTGTACCCTGTCAGCAAAGATCATTTATCCACTTTAAGAGAGACTTAAGGTGGTAGTTTGAGATAAAACCAGGAGCCGCTGAATATTAAGAGCCTGAGAACTGCTTGGGTGATTTGACTAATAAAAGGCCGGTTCATTATCAGACTGTTTAGAGGTGGGAAGGCCAAACCGAGGAATTATGTCTGACGGTAGGGAAGAAATGACTGCGGTGGCCTTCTGAGACCTTGTGGGAAAGGCCTCTACCCACCCAGTGAAAGTGTCTACCCAGACCAAAAGGTATTTTAGTTTCCTGACTTGGGGCATGTGAGTAAAGTCAATTTTCCAGTCCTGGGCAGGGGCAAATCCCCAAGCTTGATGTGTAGGGAAGGGAGGGAGCCTGAACAATCCATGAGGACTAGTAGAATAGCCAATGGAACGCTGAGAAGTGATTTCCTTGAGGATAGATTTCCACAATGGAAAGGAAATAAGAGGTTCTAAGAGGTGGGATAGCAGCTTGCAACCTACAAGGAAGACGTTATGAAATGACGACAGAATAGAATCGGCCTGTGAGGCTGAAAGGAGATATTTCCCTTGGTCTAAGAACAATTTGCCTTGTGTGGGAAGAGATTGATAGGTGGAAGTTTCAGTGGCGGAGTAGGTGGGAGTTACTGATGAGGAGAAAAACTGGCTGTGAAGGACTGAAGTTGGAACACTAGCTGCTTCTTTAGCTACCTTATCGGCATAAGTGTTGCCCTGAGTGATGGGATCTGATGCCTTTTGATGGCCTTTGCAGTGAATGACTCCAGCTTCCTTTGGAAGTAAAGTGGTCTTGAGAAGAGTTTTTATTAAAGAGGCATTAATGATGGAGGACCCTTACGTAGTGAGGAAACCTCTTTCTGCCCATATAATAGCATGGTGGTGCAGGATATGGAAGGCATATTTAGAGTCAGTATAAACATTGACATGTACTCCTTTTGCAAGAGTGAGGGCCTGAGTTAAGGCAATGAGTTTGGCTTGCTGAGAGGTAGTGGAGGGGGCAGAGCAGGAGCCTCAATGATAGATGTGGAAGATACTATAGCAAAGCCTGCCTTTGCTGGTGAGTGGCGATTAGGCCTGGTGGAACTGACATCAATAAACCAAGTGTGATCAGGGTGAAGAACAGGAAAGAAGAAAATATAGAGAAATGGAGTAAATGTCAGGTGGATCAGAGAGATACAGTCATGGGGGTCAGGTGTGGTATCTGGAATAATGTGGGAGCCAGTCTAAAACAGTGAGGTCAAGTAGTTTGGATAGGAAGGCTACAGGGCGTGGTCCTGGCTCTTGTGTAAGAATTTCAACCGCACAGCCCTGTACTTCGGCTGTGTGTAATGAAAAGGGTTGGGATGAGTTAAGGAGAGCTAGTGTGAGAGCAGCTTCTAGGGCTGTTTTTAAGGAACGGAAAGATGAGTGGTGAAAGGATTTAGGATCTATGGGGTCAGCTAGGTTTGTTTTTGTGAGTTTGTATAATGGTTTAGTCAGGATGGTAAAACTAGGTATCCAAAGGTGAAACTATCCAACCATGCCCAGGAAGGAAAGGAGTTGTTGTTTTGTAGAAGGGGTTGGGGTTTGAAAGTTTAGCTGGACATGCTCAGCAGGGAGAGCATGTGTGTTTTCATGAAGAATTATGCTGAGATAGGTAATGGATGAGGAAGAAATTTGGACTTGACTGAAGTAATGGGGGCTGTCCATGAAGCCTTGCAGTAGTATAGCCCAGGTAATTTGCTGAGCCTGATGAGTGTCAGGGTCAATCCAAGTGAAAGTGAAGAGAGGCTGGGCTGAAAGGTACAAAGGAATAGTAAAGAAAGCATGTTGGAGATCCAGAACAGAATAATGGGTTGCGGAGGGATGTATTGAGGATAGGAGAGTATCTGAGTTTGGCACCACGGGGTGGATAGGCAAGACAATTTGGTTGATAAGGTGCAGATCCTGAACTAACCTGTAAGACTTGTCCAGTTTTTGGACAGTTAAATGAGGGAATAGTAAGGGGAGTTTATAGGCTTTAAAAGGCCATGCTGTAACAGGAAAGTGATACCAGGGTTTAATCCTTTTAAAGCATGCTGTGGGATGGGATACTGGCATTGATCAGGTAAGGGTGATTAGGTTTTAATGGGATGGTAAGGGGTGCATGATCGGTCACCAAAGAGGGAGTAGAGGTGTCCCAAAATGGTGGATTAAGATGGGGAGATACAAGGGGAGGATGTGAAGGAGGCTTTGAACTGGGGAAAAGGGCGGCAATGAGGTGTGGCTGTAGCCTAGGAATAGTCAGGGAAGGAGATAATTTAGTTAAAATGTCTCAACCTAATAAGGGAGCTGGGCAGGTAGGGATAACTTAAAAGAAGTGCATAAAAACTGTTCTTCAAGTTGGCATCAGAGTTGGGGAGTTTTAAAGAGGTTTAGAAGCCTGGCCGTCAATACCCACAACAGTTATGGAGGCAAGGGAAACAGGCCCTTGAAAATAAGGTACTGTGGAGTGGGTAGCCTCCGTATTGATTAAGAAGGGGACGGACTTACCCTCCACTGTAAGAGTTACCCAAAGCATCTGTGATGGTCCAGGAGGCTTCCGAGGTGATTGGGCAATGTCAGTCTTCAGTCACTAAGCCAAGAAGATCTGGGAAGGAGTCAGTCAGAGAGCCTTGGGCCAGAGTTCCAGGGGCTCTGGGAGTGGCTGCCTGGTGAGTTGGACAGTCCGATTTCCAGTGAAGTCCCACACAGATGGGGCACAGCTTAGGAGGAATCCTGGGCTGCAGGCATTCCTTGGCCCAGTGGCCAGATTTCTGGCACTTAAAGCAAGATCCTGGGGGAGGAGGTCCTGAAGGAATGCCTGACCACTGTGGATTTAGGTGTTTTGAAGTTCTTGTGTATTGGAGATGTGGCTGGGGTTTCTCTCACAGTGGAGGCAAGTAATTGCAACTCTTTTCTATTATTGTACACCTTGAAGGCGAGGTTAATTAATTCCTTTTGTGGGGTTTGAGGGCCGGATTCTAATTTTTGAAGTTTTTTTTAATGTCAGGAGCTGACTGGGTGATAAAATGCATATTGAGAATAAGACGGCCTTCTGACCTTTCAGGGTCTAGCGTTGTAAAGCATCTCACGGTTGCTGCCAAACCAGCCATGAACTGGGCGGGGTTTTCATGTTTACTTTGGGTAGTTTCTTTAAGCTTTGTTCTTTAACAGTTCTTTAACAGCTTTGTAAGCTGCCTTTTTACACCCTTCAACTAGGCAGGAAATTATATAATCTTGCCTAGCTATACCTGGGGAATCTGCCTGATAGTTCCATTGGGGATCCTCTCGGGGAACTGCTCTAATGCCTTCCTGGAGGTCTGGCTCTTGAAGCCGGCAGTTATCAGCGTGAGATTGGGCTGGAGAAAAAACTCTTTCCCATTCATCTGGGGATAGGGTAGAAGTTAGGATGACATTTCAGTCACTCCAGGTTAAATTGTAGGACAGAGTTAGATATTGGAATTCCTGTATATATTTAGTGGGGTCTGATGAGAAAGAGCCTAAACACTGGCTGATCTGAGAGAGGTCTGATAGAGAAAAAGGCACATGTACCCTGACTATGCCTTCAGTTCCAGCCACCGCTCTAAGAGGAAATTGTTGGGCAGGTGGGGGAGGGCTAGTCTCAGAATGAAACTGTAAGCTGAACCAGGTGTGCACAGGGGAGGTGATAGAAGGATTATAGGGTGGAGGAGCAGAGGCCAAGGAAGAATCGGAGCCTGATTTAGCTTGGCGGGGAGCGACCTGAAGAGGAGCAGTCTGGGGAGGAGGGGAGAGGTCACATGGGTCAGTAGGAAAGGAAGATTGAAAAGACTCAGCGATGCTTGGGGTTGGGACTGAGGGAACAGGTGGGGGGGAAAGAAGGAGGATTTGGGGTGAGTCACATTGGGAACAGAGACTAGGGAGGGACCGATGTGTAAAAGAATGCCTGGATGTCAGGCACCTCAGACCATTTGCCCATTTTATGACAAGAATTATCTAGATCTTGTAGGATGGAGAAATTGAAAGTGCCGTTTTCTGGCTATTTGGAACCATCGTCGAGTTTGTTTTGGAGTCAAACAGCATTGCAGAAGAAAATAAGGTGTTTAGGTTTTAGGTCAGGTGTGAGCTGAAGAGGTTTTAAGTCTTTGAGAACACAGGCTAAGGGAGAAGAGGGAGGAATGGAGGGTGGATGGTTGCCCATAGTGAAGGAGGCAAGCCCAGAGAAAAGAGAGGGTAGAGACATGGAGAGAAGGGGTGGGGGGTATTTGTGCCCCAGCAAAGTGGTACTTGCCACTAAGGTGAAGGATCAAGGCAGGCGTCCCTGCGGTGATCAGACACCTCTGAAACGTGGGTGAATAATCAGGCAGGCATCCCGCAGTGATTAAACACCAAGGGAAGACTGTCTTCCCGAGCCTGTGACTGGTGCCGGAGTTTTGGGTTCATGGATAAAACGCATCTCCTCTGTCTCTACCAGAAAAGGAAAGGAACTGAAATTAAGGGAAGAGAGAGATTGAAGGGTGGCGCCAAGATTGAAAGGAGAAAGAGGTTAAGGGATAGTGAGAGAGGTTGGAGAAGAGAGTAAAAAGAGGCCACTCACCCGATTTAAA